>NC_000012.12:37611643-37763158 GCF_000001405.40 Homo sapiens
TCAGAAACTTCTTTGAGATGTGTGAATTCAACTCACAGAGTTGCACCTTCCTTTTGATGGAGCAGTTTTGAAACACTCTTTTTGAAGGATCTGCAAATGGATATTTGGAGCGCTTTAAGGCCTTCTGTGGAAACGGGAATATCTTCAAATAAAAACTGGACAGAAGCATTATCAAAAGTTTTTTTGTGATGTGTGCATTCATCTAACAGAGTTGAACCATTTTTTTTGATAGAGCAGTTCTGAAACACTCTTTTTGTAGAGTCTGCAAGTGGATACTTGGAACGCTGTGATTCCTATGGTGGAAAGGGGAATATCTTCACATAAAGAGTAGACAGAAGCACTCTCAGAAACTTCTTTGTGATGTGTGCATTGAAATAACAGAGTAGAACCTTGCTTTTGATTGAGCACTTTTGAAACACCCTTTTTGTAGAATCTGGTAGTGGATATTTCGTGCGCTTTGAGGCCTACGGTGGAAAAGTATATATCCTCACCTAAAAACAAGACAGAAGCATTCTCATAAACTTCCTTGTGATGTGTCCATTCAGCTCACAGAGTTGAAACTTTCTTTTGATAGAGCAGTTTTGAAAAGCTCTTTTTGTAGAATCTGCAAGTGGATATTTGGAGATCTTTGAGGCCTATGTGGAAAAGGAAATGTCTTCACATAAAAACTAGACAGAAGCATTCTCAGAAACTTCTTTCTGATGTGTGCATT
Organism: Homo sapiens; assembly: GCF_000001405.40. Lineage (NCBI taxonomy): Eukaryota > Metazoa > Chordata > Mammalia > Primates > Hominidae > Homo > Homo sapiens. The sequence goes on from NC_000012.12 coordinate 37,612,356, forward strand.
CAACTAACAGAGTTGAACCTTTCTATTAATAGAGCAGTTTTGAAACACTCTTTTTGTAGAATATGCAAGTGCATTTTTGGAGTGCTTTGAGGCCTACGGTGGAAACGAAAATATCTTCACATGAAAACAAGACAGAAGCATTCTCAGAAACCTCTTTGTGATGTTTACATTCAAATGACAGAGTTGAACTTTGTTTTGATAAAGCAGTATTAAAACACTCTTTGATAAAATATGCAAGTGGATATTTCAAGCGCTTGAGGCCTACGCTGGAAAAGGAAATATCTTCACATAAAAACTAGACAGAAACATTCTCAGAAACTTAGTTGTGATGTGTGCATTCAACTCACAGAGTTGAACCTTTCTTTTGATAAAGCAGTTTTGAAACACTCTTTGTAGAATCTGGAAGTGGATATCTGGTGCACTTTGAAGCCTATTTTGGAAGAGTTTATATCCTCACATAAAAACTAGACAGAAGCTCTCTGAAACTACTTTGTGATGTGTGCATTCAAGTCTCAGAGTTGAACCTTTCCTTTGACAGAGTTGTTTTGAAACACTTCTTTTGTAGAATCTGCTTGTGGATATATGAAACTTTTTGAGGAATTCATTGGAAAAGGGCTATATTCAGAAAAAACTAGAAATAACTATTCTCAGAAAGTTCTTTGTGATGTGTGCATTCAACTCACAGAGTTGAACATTTTTTTTTCATAGAGCAGATTTGAAACATTCTTTCTGTATAATCTGCAAGTGTTCATTTGGGGCGCTTTGAGGCCAAAGGTGGAAAAGGAAATAACTTCACATGAAAACTAGACAGAAGCATTCTCAGAAACTATTTTGTGATGTGTGCATTCAATTCACAGAGTTGAACCTTTCTTTTGATAGAGCAGTTTTGAAACATCCCTTTTATAGGATCTGCTTGTGGGTATTTGGAGCTCTTTGAAGAATTTGTTGTAAACGGGATATCTACACATAGAAACTAGACAGAAGGATTCTCAGAAACTGCTTTGTGATGTGTGCATTCAACTCACAGAGTTGAACCTTTCTTTGGATAGAGCAGTTTTGAAAAACTCTTTTTGTAGAATCTGCAATTCTTCATTTGGAGTGCTTTGAGGCCAATGGTGTAAAAGAAAATGTCTTCGCATAAAAACTAGACAGAAGCATTCTTAGAAACTGCTTTGTGATGTCTGCATTGAACTAACAGAGTTGAACTTTCTTTTCATAGAGCAGTTTTGAAACACTCCTTTTGTAGAATCTGCTAGTGGATATTTGGAGCTCTTTGAGGTCTTCGTTGTAAACCAGAATATCTTCACATAAAAACTAGACAGAAGCATTCTCAAAAACTTCTCTGTGATGCGTGCATTCAACTCACAGGGTTGAACTGTTCTTTGGATAGAGCAGTTTTGAAACACTCCTTTTGTAGAATCTGCAAGTGTTCATTTGGAGTGCTTTGAGGCCAATGGTGGGAAAGGAAATATCTTCACATAAAAACTAGACAGAAGCATTCTCAGAAACTTCCTTATGATGTGTGCATTCAACTCGCAGAGTTGAACCTTCCTTTTGATAGAGCACTTTTAAAAAAGTCTTTTTGTAAAATCTGCAAGTGGATAATTGCAGGGATTTGAGGCCTATGGTGGAAAAGGGAATATCTTCACATAAAAACTAGACAGAAGCATTCTCAGAAACTGCTTTGTGATGTGTGCATGCAACTCACAATGTTGAACCTTTCATTTGATAGATTAGTTTTGAAACACTTTTTTTGTGGAATCTGCAAGTGTTCATTTGGAGTGCTTTGAGGCCTATGGTGGAAAAGGAAATATCTTCACATAAAAACTAGACAGAAGCATTCTCAGAAACTAACTTGTTATGTGTACATTTAACTCATCGAGTTGAACCTTCCTTTTGAGAGATCAGTTTTGAAAGAGTCTTTTTGTAGAATCTGCAATTGGATATTTGGAGCGATTTGAGGCCTACGGTGGAAAAGGAAATATCTTCACATAATAACAAGACAGAAGTATTCTCAGGAACTTCTTTGTGATATGTGCATTCAACTAACAGATTTGAACCTTTCTTCTGATAGCACAGGTTTGAAACACTCCTTTTGTAGAATCTGCTAGTGGCTATTTGGAGATTTTTGAGGCTTCGTTGGAAACAGGAATATCTTCACATAAAAACTAGATAGAAGCATTCTCAGAAACTTCTTTTTGATGTGCGCATTCAACTAACAGAGATGAACCTTTCTTTTCATAGAGCAGTTTTGAAACACTCGCTTTGTAGAATCTGCTAGTGGATATTTGGAGAGTTTTGAGGCCTTTGTTGGAAACATGGATATCTTCCCACAAAAACTGGACAGAAACATTCCCAGAAAATACTATGTAATTTGGGCATTCAACTCACAGATTTGAACCTTTCTTTTGATAGAGCAGTTTTGAAACAGTCTTTTTGTAGAATCTGCAAGTGTTCATTTGGGGCGCTTTGTTGCCTATGGTGGAAAAAGAAATATCTTCACATAAAAACTAGACAGAAGCATTCTCAGAAACTTCTTTGTGATGTAAGCATTCAAGTCACAGAGTTGAACTTTTCTTTTTATAGAGCAGTTTTGAAACACTCTTTTTGTAGAATCTGCAAGTGTTCACTTGGAGTGCTTTGAGGCCAATGGTGGAAAAGGAAATATCTTCACATAAAAACTAGACAGAAGGATTCTCAGAAACTGCTTTTTGATGTGTGCATTCAGCTCACAGAGTTGAACTTTTATTTGGATAGATCAGTTTTGAAACACTCTTTTTGTAGAATCTGCAATTCTTCACTTGGAGCACTTTGAGGTTAATGGTGTAAAAGAAAATGTCGTCACATAAAAACTAGACAGAAGCATTCTCAGAAACTGCTTTGTGATGTGTGCATTCAACTAACAGAGTTGAACCTTTCTTTTCTTAGAGCAGTTTTGAAACACTCCTTTTGTAGAATCTGCTAGTGGATATTTGGAGCTCTTTGAGGCCTTCGTTGTAAACCGGAATATCTTCACATAAAAACTAAACAGAAGCATTCTCAGAAACTGCTTTGTGACGTGTGCATTCAACTAACAGAGTTGAACTTTTCTTTTCATAGAGCAGTTTTGAAACACTCTTTTTGTAGAATCTGCTAGTGGATATTTGGAGCTCTTTGAGGCCTTCGTTGTAATCCAGAATATCTTCACATAGAAACTAGAGAGAAGCATTCTCAGAAACTGCTTTGTGATGTGTGCATTCAACTCACAGGGCTGAACCGTTCTTTGGATAGAGCAGTTTTGAAACACCCCTTTTGTAGAATCTGCAGGTGTTCATTTGGAGCGCTTTGAGGCCAATGGTGGGAAAGGAAATATCTTCACATAAAAACTAGACAAAAGCATTCTCCAGAAACTTCTTTGTGATGTGTGCATTCAACTCTCAGAGTTGAACCTTCCTTTTGGTAGAGCACTTTTGAAACCGTCCTTTTGTAAATCTGCAAGTGGATATTTGCAGGGATTTGAGGCCTATGGTGGAAAAGGAAATATCTTCACATAAAAACTAGACAGAAGCATTCTCAGAAACTTCTTTCTGATGTGTGCATTCAACTCACAGGGTTGAACCTGTTTTTTGATAGAGCAGTTTTGAAACACTCCTTTTGTAGGATCTGCTAGTGGATACTTGGAGACTTGTGAGGCCTTGGTTTGAAATGGGAATATCTTCACATAAAAACTAGACAGAAGCATTCTCAGAAAGTTCTTTCTGAGGTCTGCACTCAACTCACAGAGTTGAACATTTCTTTTGATAGAGCAGTTTTGAAACTCTCTTTTTGTAGAATCTGCAAGTGCTCATTTGGATTGCTTTGTCCCCTATGGTGGAAAAGGAAATATCTTCACATAAAAACTATACAGAATCATTCTCAGAAACCTCTTTGTGATGTGTGCATTCAACTCTCGCTGTTGAACCTTTCTTTTGATAGAGCAGTTTTGAAACACTCTTTTTATAGAATCTGCAAGTGGATATTTGGAGTGCTTTGAGGCCTACCGTGTAAAAAGAAATATCTTCAAATAAAAACTAGACGGAAGCATTCTCAGAAACAACTTTGTGATGTGTGCATTCAACTCACAGAATTGACCCTTTCTTTTGATAGAGCAGCTTTGAGGCACTCTTTGTGTACAATCTGCAAGTGGATATTTGGAGTGCTTTGTGGGTGATGGTGAAAAGGAAATATCTTCCCATAAAAACTAGACAGTAGCATTCTCTGAATCTTCGTTGTGATGTTTACATTCAAGTCAGAGAGTTGACCCTTTCATTTGATAGACCAGTTTTGAAACAATCTTTTTGTGGTATCTACAAATGGATACTTTGATCGCTTTGTTGCCTATAGTTGTAAAGGAAATATCTTCACATAAAAATTAGGCAGAATCATTCTGAGAAACTTCTTTGTGATGTGTGCATTCATGTCACAGAGGTGAAACTTTCTTTTAATTGAGCAGTTTTGAAGCACTTTTTTGTAGAATCTGCAAGTGGATATTAGGAGCGTTTTGAAGCATATGATGGAAAAGGAAATATCTTCACTCAAAAACTAGACAGAAACATTCTCAAAAACTTCTTTGTGATGTGTACATTCAACTCACAGAGTTGAACCTTTGTTTTGATGGAGTAGTTTGAAGAACTATTTCTGAAGTATCTGAAAATGGATATTTGGAGCGCTTTGAGGCCTATGTTTGAAAAGGAAACATCTCCACATAAAAACAGTGACAGAAGCATTCTGAGAAACTTCTTTGTGATGTGTGCATTCATCTCACTGATTTGTACCTTTCTGTTGATAGAGCAGTTTTGAAACACTCTTTTCATAGAATCTGCAAGTGGATATTTGGACTGCTTTGAGGCCTGTGGTTTAAAAGGAAATATCTGCACATAAAAACTAGACACAAACGTTCTCAGAAACTTTGTGATGTGTGCGTTCAACTCACAGAGTTGAACCTTTCTTTTGATAGAGCAGTTTTGAAACACTCTTTTTGTAGAATCTGCAAGTGGATGTGTGGAGTGCTTTGAGGCTTATGGTGGAAAAGGTAATATCTTCACATAATAACTTGACAGAAGCTTTCTCAGTAACTTCTTTGTGATGTGTGCATTCATCTCACAGAGTTGAAACTTTCTTTTGACTGAGCAGCTTGGAAACAGTCTTTTTCTTGTATCTGCAAATGGAGATTTGGAGTGCTTTGTGGCCTATAGTTGAAAAGGAAATATCTCCACATAAAAACTAGACAGAAGCATTCTCAGAGAATTCTCTTTTATGATGTGCTTTGAACTCATGGAGTTGAACCTTCGCTTTGATTGAAGAGTTTGAAAACATTCTTTTTGTAGTATCTGCAAATGTATATTTGGTGTGCTTTGTGGTCTATGGTTGAAAAGGATATATCTTCACATCAAAACTAGGCAGAAGCCTTCTGAGAAACTTTTTTGTGATGTGTGCATTCATCTCACAGGGTTGAATGTTTCTTTTGATTGAACAGTTTGGAAACACTATTTTGCAGAATCTGTTAGTGGATATTTGGAGCGCTTTGATGCCTATCATGGAAAAGAAAATGTCTCCACATAAAAACTAGAAAGAAGCATTCTCAGAAACTTGTTTGTGATGTGTACATTCAACTCACAGAGTTGAACCTTTCTTTTATTGAGCATTTTGGAAAGCCTCTTTTTGTAGTATCTGCAAATGGATATTTGGAGCGCTTTTAGGCCTATTGTTGACAAGAAATGTTTCACATAAAAACTAGACAGAAGCATTCTGAGAAACTTCTTTCAGCTGTGTACATTCATCTCACACTTTTGAACCTTTCGTTTCATTGAGCAGTTTTGAAAATCTCTTTTTTTAGAATCTGCAAGTGTATATTTATAGTGCTTTGAGGCATATGGTGGAAAAGGAAATATCTTCACATAAATAATAGACAAAAGCATTCTGAGAAACTTCTTTGTGATGTGTGCATTCATCTCACAGAGTTGAACGTTTCTTTTGATTGAGCAATTTGGAAACACTATTTTTATAGAATCTGGAATTGAATATTTGGCAGGCTTTGAGGCCTATGATGGAAAAGGAAATATCTTCACATAAAAACTACACAGAAACATTCTGAGAAACTTATTTGTGATGTTTGCATTCAACTCAGAAAGTTGAACTTTTCTTTTGATTCAGCAGTTTTAGAAACATTCTTTTTGTAGAATCTGCAAGTGGATATTTGGAGCCCTTTGCAGCCTATGGTGGAAAAGGGAATAACTTCACATAAATACTACACAGAAGCATTCTGATAAACTTCTTTGTGATGTGTGCTTTCTACTCACAGAGTTGAACGTTTCTTTTGATTGAGCAGATTTGAAACACTCTTTTTGTAGAACCTGCATGTGGATATTAGGAGCGCTTTGCGGCGTATAGTGCAAAAGGAAATGTCTTCACATAACAACTAGACAGAAGCATTCTGAGAAACTTCTACAGTCTTTTTTTGGAATCTGCAAGTGGATATTTGGAGCGCTTTGAGGCCTATTGTGGAAAAGGAAATATCTTCACATAACAACTACACAGAAGCATTTTGAGAAACTTCTTTGTGATATGTGCATTCATCTCACAGAGTTTAAACTATCTATTGATTGAGCAGTTTTGAAGGAATCTTGTTGTAGAATCTGCAAGTGGATTTCTGGAGCGCTTTGTGGCCTATGGTGGTAAAGGAAATGTCTTCACATAAAAACTACACAGGAGCATTCTAAGAAAGTTCTTTGTTATGTGCATATTCAACTCACAGTGTTGAACCTATTTTTTGATAGAGCACTTTTGAAACTCTCTTTTTGTTGAATCTGCAAGTGGATATTTGGAGCCCTTTGTGGCCTGTTGTGGAAAAGGAAAGAACTTTCCATAAAAAGTACACTGAAACATTCTGAGAAACTTCTTTGTGATGTGCGCATTCATCTCACAGAGTTGAACCTCTCTTTTGATTGAGCACTTTGTAAACAATCTTTTTGTAGAATCTGCATGCGGATATTTGGAACGCTTTGGGGCCTATTGTGGAAAAGGAAATATCTTCACATAAAAACTACACAGAAGCATTCTGAGAAACTTCGTTATGAAATGGGCATTCATCTCACAGAGTTGAAACTTTCTTTTGATTGAGCAGTTTTGAAACACTCCTTTCGTAGAATCTGCAAGTGGATATATGGAGAGCTTTGAGGCCCATGTTGGAAAAGGAAATATCTTCACCTAAAAACAAAACAGAAGCATTCTGAGAAACTTCTTTCTGATGTGTGCTTTCATCTCACAGAGTTGAACTTTTCTTTCGATCGAGCAGTTTTGAATCTGCAAGTGTAAATTTGCAGCGCTTTGCGGCCTATGGTGGAAAAGTAAATATCTTCTCATAAAAACTACACAGAGGCATTCTGGGGAACTTCATTGTGATGTAGGCATTCATCTCACACGGTTGAACCTTTCTTTGCATTGAGCAGTTTTCAAACACTCTTTTCATAGAATCTGCAAGTGGATATTTGGAACGCTTTGAGACCTATGGTGGAAAAGAAAATATCTTCACTTAAAACTAGACAAAAGCATTCTCAGAAACTTCTTTGTGATGTGTGCACTCAACTCACAGAGTTGAACATTTCATTTGACAGAGCAGTTTTGAAACACACTTTTTGTAGTATCTACAAGTGGATATGTGGAGCAACTTCAGGCCTATGGTGGAAAAGGAAATATCTTCACATAAAAATTAGACAGAAGCATTCTCAGAAACTTCTTTGTGCTGTGTGCATCCAACTCACAGAGTTGAACCTTCCTTTTGGTAGAGGAGTTTTGAAACACTCTTTTTGTAGAATCTATAAATGGATATTTGGAGTTCTTTGAGGCCTCCCATAGAAAAGGAAATATCTTCACATAAAAAAAAAAAGACAGAAGCATGCTCAGAATCTTCTTTGTGAGGTGTGCATTCAACTCACATGGTTGAAGCTTCCTTTTGATAGAGCAGTTTGAAACACTTTTTTTGTAGACTCTGCCAGTGGATATTTGGAGTGCTATGAGGCCTACGGTGGAAACGGGAATATCTTCACATAAAAACTAGACAGAAGAATACTCAGAAATTTATTTGTGAGGTGTGCATTCAACTCACAGAGTTGAAACTTCCTATAGATAAAGCAGTTTTGAAACACACTTTTTGTAGTATCTGCAAGTGAATATTTGGAGCACTTTGAGGCCTTCAGTGGAAACGGAAATATCTTCATGTAAAAACTAGACAAAAGAATCCTCAGAAACTTCTTTGTGATGTGTGGATTCAACTCACAGAGTTGAACCTTTGTTTTGATAGAGCAGTTTTGAAACACTCCTTTAGTAGAATCTGCAAGTGGATATTTGGAGCGCTTTGAGGCCTATGGAGGAAAAGGAAATATATTCCCACAAAAACTAGACAGAAGCATTCTCAAAAACTACTTTGTGATGTGTGCATTCAACTCACAGAGTTGCAACTTTCTTTTGATTGAGCAGCTTTGAAACACTATTTTTGTAGAATCTGCAAGTGGATGTTTGGAACGGTTTGAGGCCTACAGTGGAAAAAGAAACATCTTCACATAAAAACTAGACAGAAGCATTCTCAGAAACTTCTTTGTGATGTGTGCATTCAACTCAGAGATTTGAACCTTCCTTTTGATAGAGCAGTATGGAAACACTCATTTTGAAGAATCTGCAAGTGGATATTTAGAGTGCCCTCAAGCCTATGGTGGAAAAGGAAATATCTTCAAATAAAAGCTAGACAGAAGCATTCTCAGAAACTTCTTCGTGACGTTTGCATTCAAATCAGAGAGTTGAACTCTCCTTTTGATTGAGCAGTTTTGAAACACTCTTTCTGTAGAATCTGCAAGGGGATATTTGGAGCGCTTTGAGGCATACAATGGAAAACTAAATATCTTCATATAAAAACTAGACAGAAGAATTCTCAGAAACTACTTTGTGATGTGTGCATTGAACTCAGAGTGATGAAACTTCCTTTTGATAGAGCAGCTTTGAAACATTCTTTTTGTAGAATCTGCAAGTGAACATTTGGAGCGCTTTGAGGCCTATGGTAGAAAAGGAAATAACTTCATATAAAAACTACACAGAAGCATTCTCAGAAAGTGAATTGTGAGGTGTGCATTCGACTCACAGAGTTGAACCTTCCTTTTGATGGAGCAGTTGTGAAACACTCTTTTTGTAGAATCTGCAAGTGGATATTGTGAACGCTTAGAGTCCAATGGTGGAAAAGTAAATATCTTCACATAAAAACTAGACAGAAGCATTCTCAGAAATTTCTTTGTGATGTGTGCATTCAACTCAGAGAGTTGAACATTCGTATTCATACAGCAGTTTTAAAACAGTCTTTTTGTAGAATCTGCAAGTGGATGTTTGGAGCACTTTGATACCTATGCTGGAAAAGGTAATATCTTCACATAAAAACTAGAAAGAAGCATTCTCAGAAACTTCTTTGTAATGTGTGCATTCAACTCACAGTGTTGAACCTTCCTTTTGATAGAGCAGTTTTGAAACACTCTTTTTGTAGAATCTATAAATGGATATTTGGAACTCTTTGAGGCCTACCATGGAAAAGGAAATATCATCACATAAAAAAAAAAAGACAGAAGCATTCTCAGAAACTTCTTTGTGAAGTCTGCATTCAACTCACATGGTTGAAGCTTCCTTTTGATAGAGCAGTTTGAAACACTCTTTTTGTAGAATTTGCCCGTGGATATTTGGAGTGCTATGAGGCCTATGGTGGAAATGGGAATACCTTCACATAAAAACTAGACAGAAGAATTCTCAGAAACTTCTCTGTGAGGTGTGCATTCAACTCACAGAGTAGAACCTTTCTTTTGATAGAGGAGTTTTGAAACACTGTTTTAGTAGAATCTGCAAGTGGATATTTGGAGCGCTTTGAGGCCTATGGAGGAAAAGGAAATATATTCCCACAAAAACTAGACAGAAGCATTCTCAAAAACTACTTTGTGATGTGTGCATTCAACTCACAGGGTTGAAAATTTCTTTTGATTGAGCAGCTTTGAAACACTATTTTTGTAGAATCTGCAAGTGGATGTTTGGAAAGGTTTGAGGCCTACGGTGGAAAAGGAAACATCTTCACATAAAAACTAGACAGAAGCATTCTCAGAAATTTCTTTGTGATGTGTACATTCAACCACAGAGTTGAACATTTCTTTTGATAGAGCAGTTTTGAAAGACACCTTTTGTAGAATCTGCTTGTGGATATTTGGAGCTCTTTGAGGAATTCGTTGTAAATGGGATATCTTCACATACAAACTAGAAGCATTCTCAGAAACTGCTTTGTGATGTGTGCATTCAAATCTGTGAGTTGAGAGAGTAGTTTTGAGAGAGTAGTTTTGAAACAGTGTTTTTGTAGTATCTGCAAGTGGATATTTGGAGCGCTTTGGGGCCTATGGTGGAAAAGAAAATATCTCCACAGAAAAAATAAACAGAAGCATTCTCAGAAACTTCTTCATGATTTGTGCATTCAACTCACAAGGTTGAACCTTTCTTTTGATACAGCAGTTTTAAAACACTCTTTTTGTAGAATCTGCAAGTAGATATTTGGAGGGCTTTGGGGCTTATGATCTAAAAGGAAATATCTTCAAAGAAAAAGTAGACAGAAGCATTCTCAGAAACACCTTTGTGATGTGTGCCTTCAACTCATAGAATTGAACCTTTCTTTTGATAGAGCAGTTTTGAAACATTCTTTTTGTAGAATCTGCAGGTAGATCTTTGGAGCGCTTTGAGGCCATTGGTGGAAGAGAAAATATCTCCACATGAAAATGAGACAGTAGCATGCTCAGAACCATCTTTGTGATGTGTGCATTTAACTCACAGAGTTGAACATTTCTTTTGATAGAGCAGTTGTGAAACACTCTTTTTGTAGAATCCTCAAGTGTATATTTGGAGTGCTTTGAGGCCTATAGTGGAAAAGGAAGTATCTTCACAAAAAAACTAGACAGAAGCATTCTCAGAAACTTCTTTGTGATGTTTGCCCTCAACTCAGAGAGTTGAACCTTTCTATTGATAGAGCAGTTTTGAAACAGTCTTTTTGTAGAATCAGAAGTGGATATTTCGAACGATTTGAGGCCTATGGTGGAAAAGGACATATCTTCACATAAAAACTAGACAGAAGCATTCTCAGAAACTTCGATGTGATGTAAGCATTCAACTCACAGAGTTGAACATACCTGTTCATAGAGCAGTTTTTAAACACTCTTTTGGTAGAAACTGCAACTGGATATTTGGAGTGCTTTGTGTCCTTTGTTGGAAACGGGAATATCTTTACATAAACGCTTGAGAGAAGCATTCTCAGAAACTTCTTTGTGATTTGTGCATACACCTCACAGAGTTAAACCTTTCTTTTGATAGAGCAGTTTTGAAACTCTCTTTTTGTAGCATCTCCACCTAGACATTTGGAGTGATTTGAAGCCTATGGTGGAAAAGGAAATAACTTCACACAAAAACTAAACGGAAGCATTCTCAGAGACATCATTGTGATGTGTGCATTCAGCTCACAGAACTGAATCTTTCTTTTGATAGAGCAGTATTGAAACACTCTTTTTGTAGAATCTGCAATTGGATATTTGGATAGGTTTGAGGCACATGGTGGAAAAGGAAATATCTTCACATAAATACTAGACAGATGCAATCTCAGAAAGTACTTTGTGATGTGTGCATTCAACCCACAGAGTTGAACCTTTCTTTTGATAGAGCAGTTTTGAAACACTCTTTTTGTTGAATCTGCAATTGGATATTTTGAGGGCTTTGAGGACTACGGTGGAAAAGGAAATATCTTCACATAAAAACTAGACAGAAGCATTCTCAGAAACTTCTTTATGATGTGTGCGTTCAACTCACAGAGTTGAACCTTTCTTTTGATAGAGCTGTTTTGAAACACTCATTTTGTAGAATCTGTAAGTGGATATTTGGAATGCTTTGAGGCCTTTCGTGGAAAAGGATATATTTTCTCATAAAAACTAGACAGATGCATTCTCAGAAAGCACTTTGTGATGTGTGCATTCAACTCACAGAGGGGAAACTTTCTTTTGATAGAGGGCAGTTTTGAAACACTCTTTCTGTAGAATCTGCAGGTGGATATTTGGAGCGCTTTGAGGCCTATGGTGGAAAAGGAAATATCTTCACAGAGAAACTAAACAGAAGCACTCTCAGAAACTTTTTTGTGATGTGTGCATTCAACTCACAAAGTTGAACCTTTCTTTTGATACAGCAGTTTTAAAACACTCTTTTTGTAGAATCTGCAAGTAGATATTTGGAGTGCTTTGTGTCTTATGCTTCAAAAGGAAATATCTTCACAGAAAAAGTAGACATAAGCATTCTCAGAAACATCTTTGTGATGTGTGCATTCAACTCACAGAGTTGAACCTTTCCTTTGATAGAGCAGTTTTGAAACACTCTTTTTGTAGAATCTGCCAGTGGATATTTGGAGGTCTTTGAGGCATATGGTTGAAAACGAAATATCTTCACAAAAAAACTAGACTGAAGCTTTCTTAGAAACTTCTTTGCGATGTGTCATTTCAACTCACAGAGCTGAACCATTCTTTTGATAGAGCAGTTTTGAAACAATCTTTTTCCAGAATCTGCAATTGGATGTTTGGAGTGCTTTGAGGCCTATCCTGGAAAAGGAAATATTGTCACCAAAAAACTAGACAGAAGAATTCTGAGAAACTTCTTTGTGATGTGTGCATTCATCTCACTGAGTTGAATCTCTTTTTTGATTGAGTAGTTTGCAAGCACTCTTTTTGCAGAATCTGCCTTTGGACACTTGGAGCGCTTTGCAGCCTATGGTAGAAAAGTAGACAGACAGAAGCAAGCTGAGAAACTTCTTTGTGAAGTATGCATTCACCTCACAGAGTTAAATCTCTCTTTTGATTGGGCACTTTTTAAACTCTTTTTGTAGAATCTGCAAGCGGACATTTGTAGCACTTTGAGGACTATGTTGGAAAAGGAAATATCTTCACATGAAAACTAGACAGAAGAATTCTGAGAAACTTCTTTGGATGTGTGCATTCATCTCACAGAGTTGAACCATTCTTTTGAATGACCAGTTTTGAAATACTCTTTTTGTAGAATCTGCAAGTGGACATTTCAAGCGCCTTGAGGCCTTCCATGGAGAAGGAAATATCTTCACATAAAAAATAGACAGAAGAATTCTGAAGAACTCCTTTTTGATGTGTGGGTTCATCTCACAGAGTTGTACCTTTCTTTTGATTGAGAAGTTTTCAAACTCTCTTTCTGTAGAATCTTCATGTGGACATTTGGAGCACTTTGCAGCCTGGTAGAAAAGAAAATATCTTCACATAAAATCTAGACAGAAGCAATCTGAGAAATCTCTTCGTGATGTGTGCATTCATCTCACATAGTTAAAATTTTCTTTTGATTCAGCAGTTTTCAAACTCTCTTTTTGTAGAATCTGAAAGTGGACATTTTTAGCACGTTGCGGCCTACAGTGGAAAAGGAGCTATCTTCACATAAAATCTAGACAGAAGCAAACTGAGGAACTTTTTTGTGAAGTGTGCGTTCATCTCACAGAGTTAAACCTTTCTTCTGATTGAGCAGTTTTGAAACTCTTTTTGTACAATCTGCAAGTGGACGTTTGGGGTGCTTTGAGACTATGGTGGAAAAGGAAATATCTTCACATAAAAACTAGACAGAAGAATTCTGAGAAACTTCTTTGTGATGTGTGCTTTCATCTCACAGAGTTGAACGTTTCTTTTGATAGAGCAGTTTGGAAACACCCTTTTGGGAGAATTTGCAACTGGACATTTGGAGCGCTTTGCGGCCTATGGTAGAAAAGGAAATATCTTCACATAAAATCTAGACAGAAGCAATCTGAGAAACCTCTTTGTGCAGTGTGCATTCAACTCACAGAGTTAAACCTTTCCTTTGATTGAGCAGTTTTGAAAATCTCTTTTTGTGGAATCTGCAAGAGGACATTTGGAGCGCTTTGAAGCCTATGGTAGAAGAGGAAATATCTTCACATAAAATGTAGACAGAAGCAATCTGAGAAACTTCTTTGTGATGTGTGCATTCATCTCACAGAGTTAAACCTTTCTTTTGATTGAGTAGTTTTCAAACTCTCTTTTTGTAGAATCCTCAATTGGACATTTGGAGCGCTTTGTGGCCTGTGGTAAAAGAGGAAATATCTTCACATAAAATCTAGACAGAAGCATTCTCAGAAAATTCTTTGAGATCTGTACATTCATCTCACGGAGTTTAACCTTTCTTTTGATTGAGCACTTTGGAAACTCTCTTTTTGCAGAATCTGCAATTGGACATTTTGATCACTTTGAGGCCTATGGTGGAAAAGGAAATATCTTCACAGAAAAACCAGATAGAAGAATTCTGAGAAACTACTTTTTGATTTGTGTGTTCATCTCACAGAGTAGAACCTTTCTTTTGATTGTGCAGTTTGGAAACCCTCTTTTTGTAGAATTTGCAAGTGGACATTTGGAGTGCATCCTATGGTAGAAAAGAAAATATCTTCATATAAAATCTAGACAGAAGCAATCTGAGAAACTTCTTTGTGATATGTGCATTCATCTCACAGAGTTAAACTTTTCCTTTGATTGAGCAGTTTTCAAACTCTCATTTGTAGAATCTGCAAGTGAACATTTGGAGAGCTTTGCAGCCTATGGTGGAAAAGGAATTATCTTCACATAAACTAGACAGAGGCAATCTGAGAAACTTCTTTGTGATATGTGCGTTCATCTCACAGAGTTGAAACTTTCTTTAGATTGAGCAGTTTTTAAACACTCTGTTTGGAGAATCTGCAATTGGACATTTGGAGAGTTTTGTGGCCTGCGGTAGAAAAGCAAATATCTTCACATAAAATCTAGACAGAAGCAATCTGAGAAACTTGTTTGTAATGTGTGCATTCATCTCACATAGCTAAATCTTTCTATTAATGGAGCAGTTTTGAAAATTTGTTTTTGTAGAATCTGCAAGTGGACATTTTGAGCGCTTTGAGGCCTGTGGTGCAAAAGGAAATATCTTCACATAAGAACCGGACATAAGAATTCTGTGAAACTTCTTTCTGATGTGTGCGTTCATCTCACAGGGTTGAAACTTTCTTTTGATTGAGCAGTTTGGAAACACTCTCTTTGTAGAATCTGCAAGTGGACATTTGGAGCACTTTCCGGCCTACAGTAGAAAATGAAATATCTTCACATAAAATTTAGACAGAAGCAATCTGAGAAACTTCATTGTGATGTGTGCTTTCATGTCAAAAAGTTAAGCCTCTCTTTTGATTGAGCAGTTTTGAATATCTCTTTTTGTAGAATCTGCAACTGAACATTTGGAGTGCTTTGAGGCTTATGTTGGAAAAGAAAATATCTTCACATAAAAACTAGACAGAAGAATTCTGAGAAACATCTTTGTGATGAGTGCATTCATGTCAAAGAGTTGAACGTTTCTTTTGATTGAGCAGTTTTGAAACTCTCTTTTTGTAGAACCTGCAAGTGGACTTTTGGAATGTTTTGAGGCCTATGGTGGAAAAGGAAATACTTCACATAAAAAGTAGACCAAAGAATTCTGAAAAACTTCTTTGTCATGTGTGCCTTCATCTCCCAAAGTTGAAGCTTTGCTTTGATTGAGCAGTTTTGAAACTCCCTTTTTGTAGAATCTGCAAGTGGACATTTGGTGCGCTTTGAGGCCTATGGTGGAAAAGGAAATATCTTCACATAAAATCTACACAGAAGAATTTGGAGAAACTTCTTTTTGATGGGTGCATTGATCTCACAGAGTTAAACCTTTCTTTTGATTGAGCAGTTTTGAAACTCTCTTTTTGTAGATTCCACAAGTGTACATTTGGAGCGCTTTGAGGCCTATGGTGCAAAAGGAAATATTTTCACATAAAAACTAGAGAGAAGAATTCTGAGAAACTTATTTGTGATATGTGCGTTCATCTCAAATTGTTGTACGTTCTTTTCATTGAGCAGTTTGGAAATACTCTTTTTCTAGATTCTGCAAGTGGCTATTTGGAAGGCTTTATGGCTTGTAGTAGAAAGGGAAATATCTTCACCTAAAAACTACACGGATGCATTCTCAGAAACTTTTTAGTGATGTGTGCCTTCATCTCACAGAGTTGAATATTTCCTTTGATTGGGCAGTTTGTAATCTCTCTTTTTGTAGAATCTGCAAGTGGATATTTGGGGAGCTTTGAAGACTGTGGTGGAAAAGAAAATATCTTCACATAAAAACTAAACAGAGGAATTCTCAGAAACTTCTCTGTGATGTGTGCATTCATTTTACAGAGTTGAACTTTTCTTTTTATTGAGCAGTTTGGGAACACTGTTTTTGTAGAATATGCAAGTGGACATTTGGGGAGCTTTGTGGCCTATGGTAGAAAAGGAAATATCTTCACATAAAATCTAGACAGAAGCAATCTGACAAACTTCTTTGTGATGTATGCATTCATCTCACAGAGTTAAACCTTTCTTTGAATGAGCAGTTTTTAAAATCTCTTTTTGTAATATCTGCAAGGGACATTTGTAGCACTTTGAGGCCTATGGTTGAAAAGGATTTGTCTTCACATAAAATCTAGACAGAAGCAATCTGAGAAACTCCTTTGAGATGTGTGCATTCATCTCACAGAGTTAAACCTTTCTTTTGATTGAGCACTTTGGACACTCTGTTTTTGCAGAATCTGCAAGTGGACATTTTGATCGCTTTGTGGCCTATGGTGGAAAAGGAAGTATCTTCACGTAAAAAAAGACAGAAGAATTCTGAGAAACTTCTTTGTGATGTGGGCGTTCATCTCACAGAGTTGAACCTTTCTTATGATTGAACAGTTTGGAAACACTCTTTTTGTAGAATCTGCAAGTGGACATTTAGAACGGTTTGCGGTCTATGGTAGAAAAGGAAATATCTTCACATAAAATCTAGACAGAAACAATCTGAGAAACTTCTTTGTGATGTGTGTGTTTCCAAACTGCTCAATCAAAAGAAAGGTTCAACTCTGTGAGATGAATGCACACATCACAAAGAAGTTTCTCAGAATGCTTCTGTGTAGTTTTTACATCAAGATATTTCCTTTTCCACCATTGGCCTCAAAGCGCTTCATATATCCACTTGCGGATTCTACAAAAAAAGTTTTTATAAACTGCTCAATCAAAGGAAAGGTTCAAATCAGTGAGTTGAATGCACATATCACAAAGAAGTTTCTCAGAATGCTTCTATGTAGTTTTTATGTGAAGATATTTCCCTTTCCACATTAGGCCACAAAGTGCTGGAAATATTCACTTGCAGATTCTAGAATAAGAGTGTTTCCAAACTGCCCAATCAAAAGGAAGGTTCAACTCTGTGAGATGAATGCACACATCAGAGAGAAGTTTCTCAGAATGCTTCTGTGTAGTTTTCATGTGAATACATTTCCTTTTCCACAATAGGCTACAAAGCGCTCCACATATCCACTTGCAGATTCTTCAAAAACAGTGTTTCCAAACCGCTCAATCAAAAGGAAGTTTTAACTCTGTGAGATGAATACACACATCACAAATAAGTTTCTGAGAATGCTTTCGTGTAGTTTTTATGGGAAGATATTTCCTTTTCCACAATAGGCATCAAAGCTCTTCAAATATCCACTTGCAGATTCTATAAAAAGAGCGTTTCAAAACTGCTCAATCAAAAGAAAGGTTCAATTCTGTGACATGAATGCACACATCACAAACAAGTTTCTCAGAATGATTCTGTGTAGTTTTCATGTGAAGATAAATCCCATTCCAAAATAGTTCACAAAGGGTTCCAAAGAGCCACTTGCAGATTCTACAAAAAGAGACATTCAAAAAAGCTCAATCAAAAGATAGGTACAACTCTGTGAGTTTAAAGTACACATCACAAAGAAGTTTCTCAGAATGCTTCTGCATAGTTTTTATGTGAAGATATTTCCTCTACCACAATAGGCCTCAAAGCACTCGAAATATCCACTTGCAGATTCTGCAAAAAGAGAGTTTCCAAACTGCTCAATCAAAAGGAAGGTACAACTCCATGAGATGAATGCACACATCAGAAAGTAGTTTCTCAGAATGCTTCTGTGTAGTTTTTATGGGAAGATATTTTCTTTTCAACAATTGGCCTAAAAGCACTACAAATATCCACTTGCAGATTCTAAAAAAGAGTGTTTCAAAACTGCTCAATCAAAGGAAATATTCAACTCTGTGAGATGAAGGCACACATCACTAAAAAGTTTCTGAGAATGCATCTGTGTAGTTTTTAGGTGAAGATATTTCCCTTTCCACAATAGGCCTCAAAAGGCTTCAAATATCCACTTGCAGAGTCTATAAAAAGAGTGTTTCAAAACTGCTCAATCAAAAGAAAGGTTCAACTCTGTGAGTTGAATGCAAACATCATGAAGAAGTTCCTCAGAGCACTTCCGTGTAGTTTTTATGTGAAGATATTTCCTTTTCCATGAAAGGCCTCAAAGTGCTCCAAATATCGACTTGCAGATCTACAAAAAGAGTGTTTCAAAACTGCTCAATCAAAAGAAAAATCAGACTCTGTGAGATGAATGGACACATCACAAAGAAGTTTCTGAGAATGCTTGTGTGTAGTTTCTATGTGAAGATATTTCCTTTTCCAATATAGACCTCAAAACCCTCCCAATATCCACTTACAGATTTTATAAAAAGAGTGTTTCAAAACTGCTCAATCAAAAGAAAGCTTTAACTCTGTTAGATGAATGCATACATCACAAAGAAGTTTCTCAAAATGCTTCTGTGAAGTTTTTATGTGACGATATTTCCTTTTCCACCATAGGCCTCAAAGGGCTTCAAATATCCTGTTGCAGATTCTATAGAAAGAGTGTTTCCAAGCTGCCCAATCGAAAGACGGTTTTAACTCTGTGAGATGAATGCACACATCACAAAGAAGCTTCTGAGAATGCTTCTCTGCAGTTTTAATGTGAAGATATTTCCTTTTCCACAAATTGCCTCAAAGTGCTTCACAAATCCACTTGCAGATTCTATAAAAGAGTGTATCAAAACTGCTCAATCAAAAGAAAGGTTACGATCTGTGAGTTGAATGCACACATCACAAAGATGTTTCTCAGAATGCTTCTATGTAGTTTTTATGTGAAGACATTTCCTTTTCCACAATTGACCTCAAAGGGCTCCAAATATCCACTTGCAGATTCTATAAAAAGAGGGTTTATAAATTGCTCAGTCAAAAGAAAGTTTGAACTCTGTAAAATGAATGCACACATCACAAAGAAGTTTCTCAGAATGCTTTTGTGTAGTTGTTATGTGAAGATATTTTCTTTTCCATGATAGGCCTCAAAGCGGTCCAAATATCTACTTGCAGATTCTAAAAAAAGTGTGTTTCCAAACTGCTCAAGCAAAAGAAAGGTTCAACTCTCTGAGATGAATGCACACATAACAAGTAAGTTTCTGAGAATGCTTCTGTTGCTTTCATGTGAAGATGTTTCCTTTTCCACAATAGGCCTCAAAGCGCTTCAAATATCCAATTGCAGATTCTATAAAACTAGTGTTTCAAAACTGCTCAATCAAAAGGAAGGTTCAACTCTGTGAGATGAATGCACACATCACAAAGAAGGATCTCTGAATGCTTCTGTGTGGTTTTTATGTGAAGGTATTTCCCTTTCCAAAAAATGACACAAAGGGCTTCAAATATCCACTTGCAGATTCTACCAAAAGAGAGATTCAAAACTGCTCAATCAAAAGATAGGTTCAATTCTGTGAGTTGAATGCACACATCAAAAATAAGTTTATCAGAATTCTTCTGTGTAGTTTTCATGAGAAGATATTTGCTTTTCCAACGTAGGCCTCATAGCACTCCAAATATCCTATTGAAAATTCTACAAAAAGAGTGTTTCCAAACAGCTCAATCAAAGAAAGGTTCAACTCTGTGAGATGAATGCATACATCACAAATAAGTTTCTGAGAATGCTGATGTGTAGTTTTAATTTTAAGATATATCCTTTTCCACAAAAGGCCTCAAAGCCCTTCCCATATCCACTTGCAGATAATATAAAAAGAGTGCTTCAAAACTGCTCAATCAAAAGAAAGGTTCAACTCTGTGAGTTGAATGCACACATTACAAACTACTTTCTGGGAATGCTTCTGTCTAGTTTTATGTGAAGACATTTCCTTTTCCACCCTAGGCCTCAAAAAGATCCAAATATCGACTTGCAGACTCTACAGAAAGTGCGTTTCAAAACTGCTCAATCTAAAGAAAAGTTCACATCTGTGAGTTGAATGCACACATCACAAAGATGTTTCTGAGAATTCTTCTGTCCAGTTTAAATGTGAAGATATTTCCTTCTCCAACATAGGCCTCAAAGCGCTAAAAATATCGACTTGCAGATTCTATAAAAAGAGAGTTTCAAAATGCTCTATCAAAAGAAAGGTTCAACACTGTGAGTTGAATGCACAAATCACAAAGAAGTTTCTGAAAATGCTTCTGGGCGTTTTTATGTGAAGATACTTCTTTCTTTTAAACCATAGGCCTCAAAGCGCTCCAAATATCCACTTGCAGATTCTACAAAAAGTGTTTCAAAACTGTTCAATCAAAAGAAGGATTAAACTCTGTGAGTTGAATGCGCACGTCACAAAGAAGTTTCTGAGAATGCTTCTGTCTAGTTTTTATAAGAAGGTATTTCTTTTTCCACCATAGGCCTCAAAGCACTCCAAATATCCACTAGCAGATTCTACAAAAAGAATGTTTCAGAATTCCTCAATCAAAAGAGCCACTTAACTCTGTGAGTTCAATGCAAACATCACAAAAATGTTTCTTAGAATGCTTCTGGCTAGTTTTTATGCAAAGATATTTCTTTTTCCACCATTGGCCACAAAATGCTAAAAATATCCACTTGCAGACTCTACAAAAAGAGCGTTTGAAAACTGCTCTTTCAAAAGAAAGGTTAAACTCTGTGAGTTGAATGCACACATTACAAAGAAGATTCTGAGAATGGTTCTTTCTAGTTTTTATGTGAAGATGTTTCCTTTTCCACCCTAGGCCTCAGAGTGCTCCAAATATACACTTCCAGACACTACAGAAAGTGCTTTTCAAAACTGCTCAATCAAAAGAAAGGTTCAGCTCTGTGAGTTGAATGTAGACATCACAAAGAAGTTTATGAGACTGCTTCTGTCTAGTTTTTGTGTGAAGATGTTTCCACTTCAACTATAGACCTCAAAGCACTCCAAATATCCACTTACAGTTTCTACAAAAAGAGTATTTCAAACTGCTCAATCAAAAGAAAGGTTCAACTCAGTGAGTTGAATGCACACATCACAAAGAAGTTTCTGAGAATACTTCTGTCTAGTTTTTATATGAAGATATTTCCTTTTCCACCTTATGCCTCAAGTTGCTCCAAATATCCACTTGCAGATTCTACATAAAGAGTTTTTCAAAACTGCTCAATCAAAGGAAAGGATCAACTCTGTGAGCTGAATGCACACATCAGTAAGAACTTTCTGAGAATGCTTCTATCTAGTATTTATGTGAAGATATTTCGTTTTTCACCATAGACCTGAAAGTACTCCAAATATCCACTTGCAGATTCCACAAAAGGAAAGTTTCAAATCTGCTCAATCAAAAGAAAGTTTAAACTCTGGGAGTTGAACGCCCATATCACAAAGTAACTTCTGAGAATGCTTCTTTCTTGTTTTTAGCTTAAGATATTTCCTTTTCCACCATAGTCCTCAAAGCGCTCCCAATATCCACTTGCAGATTCTACAAGAAGTGTGTTCCAAAACTGATCTATCAAAAGAAAAATAAAACTCTGTGAGCTGAATGCACACATCACAAAGAAGTTTCTGAGACTGCTTCTGTCTAGTTTTTATGCAAAGCTATTTCCTTTTCCACTACTGGCCTTAAAGCCCTCCAAATATCCATTTGCAGATTCTACAAACAGAGTGTTTCAAAACTGCTCTATCAAAGGAAAGGTTCAACTTTGTGAGTTGAATTCATACATCACAAAGTAGCTTCTGAAAATGCTTCTGTCTTATTTTTATGTGAAGATATTTGCTTTTGCAGCATAGGCCTCAAAGCACTCCAAATATCCACTTGCAGATCCTACAAAAAGAGTGTTTTAAACCTGCTCTATCAAAAGAAAGGTTCAACTCTGTGAGTTTAATGCACACATCCCAAAGAACTTACTGAGAATGGGTCTGCATAGTTTTTATGTGAAGATATTTCCTCTTCAACCATAGGCCTCTAGGTACTCCAAATATACACTTGCAGATACTACAAAAAGAGTGTTTCAAACTGCTCCATCAAAAGAAAGGTTCAACTCTGTGACTGAAATGCCCACATCACAAAGAAGTTTCCCAGAATGCTTCTGTGTAGTTTTTATGTGAAGATATTTTTTTTTCCACCACTGGCCTCAAAGCGCTCCAAATATCCACTTGCAATTACTAACAAAAGAGTGTTTCAAAACTGCTCTATCAAAAGAAATGTTCAGCTCTGTGAGTTGAATGCACACACAAAAACTGTTTCTGAGAATACTTCTGTCTGGCCTTTATGTGAAGACATTTTCTTTTCCACTGTAAGCCTCATAGCGCTCCAAATATCCACAAGCAGATTCTACAAAAACGTTGTTTGAAACTGCTCTAACAAAAGAAATATTCAACACTGTGATTTAATGCACACATCACAAAGAAGTTTCATAAATTGCTTCTGTCTAGTTTTTGTGAAGATATTTCCTTATCCATGGAAGGCCTCAAAGTGCTCCAAATATCCACCTGCAGATTCTACAAAAAGACTGTTTCAAAACTGCTCTGTCAAAAGGAAGGTTAAGCGCTGTGTGTTGAATGCACACATCACAATGAAGTTTCTGAGAATGCTTCTGTCTAGTTTTTTTGGGAAGATATTTCCTTTTCTACCGTAGGCCTCAAAGCACTCAAAATATCCACTTGCAGAGTCTAGAAAAAGAGTGTTTCAAAACTGCTGTATCAAAAGAAAGGTTCAACTCTGTTAGTTGAATACACACCTCATGAGGAAGTTTCTGAGAATGCTTCCGTCTAGTTTTTATGTGAAGATATTTCCTTTTCCACCATTGGACTCAAAGCACTCTAAATATCCACTTGCAGATTCTACAAAAAGAGTGTTTCTAAACTGCTCCATTAAAAGAAAGGTTCAACTATTTGTGTTGAATGCACACGTCACAAACAAGTTTCTTAGAATGATTCGTCTACTTTTCTTGTGAAGATATTCCCTCTTCCACCATAGGCCTCAACGTACTCCAAATAGCCACTTGCAGATATTGCTAAGAGTGCTTAAAAACTGCTTTATCCAATGAAAGGTTCGACTCTGTGAGTTGAAAGCACACATCACAAAGAAGTATCTGAGAATGCTTCTGTCCACTTTTTATTTGAAGATATTTCATTTTACAACATAGGCCTCAGAGCACTCCAAATATCCAATTTCAGACTCTACAAAAAGAATGTTTCATAACTGCTCTATCCAAAGAAAATTTCAGCTCTGCGAGTTCAATGCACACATCCCAAAGAGTTTCTGAGAACACCTCTGTCTACTTTTTATGTGAAGATAATTCCTTTCTACCATATGCCTCAAAGCACTCAAAATATCCACTGGCAGTTTCTACAAAGAGAGTGTGTGAAAACTGCTCTATCAAAACAAAGGTTTAGCTCTGTGAGTTAAATAAGCAAATCTCAAAGGTGTTTCTGAGAATGCTTCTGCCTAGTTTTTATGTGAAGATATTTCCTTTTCCACCATAGGCTTCAAAGTGCTCAAAATATCCACTTGCAGATTCTACCAAAACAGGTTTTCTAAACTGCTCTATCAAAATAACGTTTCAACTCTGTGTGTTGAATGCACACATCACAAAGAAGTTTCTGAGAATGTTTCTGTCTGGTTTTTATGTGAAGATATTTCGTTATATACCATAGGCCTCAAAGCACTCCAAATATCCACTTGCATATTCTACAAAAAGAGTGTTTCAAACTCCTCAATGAAAACAATGGTTTAAATCCGTGAGTTGAATGCACACATCACAAAGAAGTTTCTGAGAATGCTTCTGTCTAGTTTTTATGTGAAGACAGTTCCTTTTCCACCATTGGCCCCAATGTGTAAAAAATATCCAATTGCAGATTCTACAAAAAAGGTGTTTCAAAACTGCTCTATCAAAAGAAAGGTTCAACTCTGTGAGTTGAATGTACACATCACAAAGAAGTTTATTAGTTTGTTTCTGTCTAGTTTTTATGTGAAGATATTTCCTTTTCCACCGTAGGACTCAAAGCACTCCAAATATCCACTTGCAGATTCTACAAAAAGAGAGTTCCTAAACTGCTCCATCAAAAGAACGGTTCAAATCTATGAGTTGAATTCACACATCACAAAGAAGTTGCCGAGAATGATTCTGTCTAGTTTTTATGTGAAGATATTTCCTTTTTCACCATTGGACTCTAAGCGCTAAAACTATCCATTTGCAGATTCTACAAATAGAGTGTTTTAAATCTGCTCTATCAAAAGGAAAGTTCAACTCTGTCACTTGAATGCACCCATCACAAAGTAGTTTCTGAGAATGTTTCTGTTTAGTTTTTATGTGAAGATATTTCCTTTTCCACCATAGGCCTCAAAGTGCTTCAATTATCCACTTGCAGATCCTACAAAAAGAGTGTTTCAAAACTGCTAAATCAAAGGAAAGTTCCAGCTCTGTGATTTGAATGCACACATCACAAAGTAGTTTCTGACAATGCTTCTGTCTAGTTTTTATGTGAAGATATTTCCTTTTCCACCATAGGCCTGAAAGCTCTCCAAATATCCACTTGCAGATTCCACAAAAAGAGTCATTCATAACTGCTCTATCAAAAGAAAGGTTCAACTCTGTGAGTTGAATGCACACATCACAAAGCCGTTTCTGAGAATGCTTCTTTCTAGTTTTTAGGTGAAGACATTTCCTTTTCCACCATTGGCACCAAAGTGCTACAAATATCCACTTGTGGATTCTATAAAAAGATTGTTTCAAAACCACTCTATCAAAGGAAAGGTTCAACTCTGTGAGTTGAATGCACACATCACAAAGAAGTTTCTGAGATTGTTTCTGTCTAGTTTTTATGTGCAGATGTATCCTTTTCCACCATAGGACTCAAAGTGCTCCAAATAACCACTTGCAAATTCTACAAAAAGAGTGTTTTTAAACTGCTCCATCAAAAGATAGGTTCAACTCTGTGAGTTGAATTCACACATCACAAAGTTGCTGAGAATGCTTCTGGCAGGTTTTTATTTGAAGGTATTTCCTTTTCCACCATTGGACTCAAACCGTTAAAACTATGCACTTGCAGATTCTACAAATAGTGTATTTTAAAACTGTTCTATCAAAAGAAAGGTTCAAATCTCTCAGTTGAATGGACACATCACTAAGTAGTTTCTGAGAATGCTTCTGTCTAGTTTTTATGTGAAGATATTTCCTTTTCCACCATAGGCCTCAAAGAGGTGTGATTATCCACTTGTAGTTTCTACAAAAAGCGTCTTTCAAAACTGCTCAATCAAAAGAGAGCTTCCACAGTGTGAGTTGAATGTGCAAATCAAAAAGAACTTTCTGAGAATGCTTCTGTCTAGTTTTTATGTGAAGATATTTCTTTTTCCACAGTAGGCCTCAAAGCGCTCCAAAGATAAGATTCCAGATTACACAAAAAGTGTGCTTCAAAACTGCTCTTTCAAAAAAAAGGTTCAACTCTGTGAGTTGAATTCACACATCACAAAGAAGTTTCTGAGAATTCTTTTGTCTGGTTTTTATCTGAAGATCTTTCTTTTTCCACCATAGATCTCAAAGCCCTCCAAATATCCAGTTACAGATTCTACAAAAAGAGTGTTTCAAAATTGCTCAATCAAAAGAAAGTTTCAACACTGTGAGATGAATGCTCACATCACAAAGAAGTTTCAGAGAATGTTTCTGTTTTTTTGTTGAAGGTATTTCCTTTTCCACAGTAGGCCTCAAAGCGCTCTAAATATGCACTTGCAGACCCTACAAAAACACTGTTTCAAAACTGCTCTATCAAAAGAACAGTTCATCTCTGTGAGTTGAATGCACACATCACAAAGAAGTTTATGAGAATGCTTCTATCTAGTTTTTATGTGAAGATATTTCCTTTTCCACTGTATTATTCAAAGCACTCCAAATATCCAGTTGCAGATTCAACAAAAAGTGTGTTTCAAAACTGCTGATTCAAAAGAAAGATTCAACTCTGTGACTTGAGGGCACACATCACAAAGAAGTTTCTGAGATTGTTTCTGTCTAGTTTTTATGTAAAGATTTTTCCTTTTCCAGCATAGGACTCAAAGCACTCCAAATATCCACTTGCATATTCTACAAAAAGAGTGTTTCTAAAGTACTCCATCAAAAGAAAAGTTCAACTCTGTGAGTTGAATTCACGCATCACAAAGAAGTTGCTGAGAATGCTTCTGTCTCATTTTTATTTGAAGATATTTCCTTTTCCACCTTTGGACTTAAAGCACTAAAACTATCCACTTGCAGATTCTACAAAAACACTGTTTCAAAACTGGCCTATCAAAGGAAAGGTTCATCTCTGAGAGTTGAATGTATACATCACAAAGAAGTTTCTGAGATTGTTTCTGTCTAGTTTTTATGTGAAGATATTTCCTTTTCCACCATAGGACTCAAAGCACTCCAAATATCCACTTCCAGATTCTACAAAAGAGAGTTCCTAAACTGCTCCATCAAAAGAGTGGTTTAACTCAGTGAGTTGAATTCACACATCATAAAGAAGTTGCCGAGAATGATTCAGTCTAGTTTTTATGTGAAGATATTTCCTTTTTCACCATTGGACTCTAAGCGCTAAAACTATCCACTTGCAGATTCTACAAAAAGAGTGTTTTAAATCTGCTCTATCAACAGAAAGGTTCAACTCTGTCACTTGAATGAACCCATCACAAAGTAGTTTCTGAGAATGCTTCTGTTTAGTTTTTATGTGAAGATATTTCCCTTTCCACCATAGGCCTCAAAGCACTTCAATTATCCACTTGCAGATCCTACAAAAAGAGTGTTTCAAAACTGCTAAATCAAAGGAAAGGATCAACTCTGTGAGTTGAATGCACACATCACAAAGAAGTTTCTGAGATTGCTTCTGCTGGTTTTTTATGAAGATATTCCCGTTTCCAACAAAGGCCACAGAGAGCTCCAAATATCCACTAGCAGATTCTACAAAAGGAGTGTTTCAAAACTGCTCTATCAAAAGAAAGGTTCAACTTTCTTGCTTGAATGCACACATCACAATGGAGTTTCTGAAAATTCTTCAGTCTAGTTTTTATGTGAAGATATTTCCTTTTTCACCATAGGCCTCAAGTCGATCCAAATATACACTTGCAGATTCCACAAAAACGTTGTTTCAAAACTGCTCTCTCAAAAGGAAGGTTGAATTCTGTGAGTTGAATGCACACATCACAAAGCAGTTTCTCAGAATGTTACTGTCTAGTTTTTATGTGAAGATATTCCCGTATCCAACGAAGGCCTCAAAGAGCTCCAAATATCCACAAGCAGATACTGCAAAAGGAGAGTTTCAAAACTGCTCTATCAAAACAAAGGTTCAACTCTGTGAGTTGAATGCACACATCACAAAGAATTTTCTGAGCATGCTTCAGTCTAGTTTTTATGTGAAGATATTTCCTTTTCCACCATAGGCCTCAAAGCACTCAAAATGAACACTGGCAGATTATACCGAAAGAAAGTTTCAAATCTGCTCTATCAAAAAAAAGGTTCAACTCTGTGAGATGAATGCATAAATCACAAAGAAGTTTCTGAGAATGATTCTGTCTAGTTTTTATGTGAAGATATTTCCTTGTCCACTATAGGCGTCAGTGTGCTCCCAATGAACACTTTCAGATTCTACAAAAAGAGTGTTTCTAAACTGATCTATCAAAAGCATGGTTCAACTCTGTGAGTTGAATTCACACATCACAATGCAGTATCTCAGAATGCTTCTATCTAGATTTATGTGAAGTTTTTCCCATATCCAACGAAGGACTCAAAGACCTCCAAATATCCACTAGCCGATTCTACAAAAGGAGTGTTTCAAATCTGCTCTATCAAAAGAAAAGTTCAACTCTGTGAGTTGAATGCACACATCACAAAGAAGTTTCTGAGAATTCTTCTGTCTAGTTTTATATGAAGATATTTCCTTTTGCACCATAGGCCTCAAATCGCTCCAAATATCCACTTGCAGGTGCTACAAATAGACTGTTTCAAAACTCCTCTCTCAAAAGGAAGATTAAACTCTGTGAGTTGAAGTCACACATCAAAAAAGAATTTCTGAGAATGCTTCTGTCTAGTTTTATGTGAAGATATTCCCGTATCCAACGAAGGACTCAAAGAGCTCCAAATATCCACTAGCAGATTCTACAAAAGGAGTGTTTCAAAACTGTTCTATCAAAACAAAGGTTCTACTCTGTTAGTTGAATGCACACATCACAAAGAAATTTCTGAGCATGCTTTGGTCTAGTTTTTATGTGAAGATATTTCCTTTTACAACATAGGCCTCAAATCACTCCAAATATCCACTTGCAGATTCTACAAAAAGACTATTTCAAAACTGCTCTCTCATCAAAAGCAAGATTCAACTCTGTGAGTTGAATGCACACATCACAAAGAAGTTTCTGAGAATGCTTCTGTCAAGTTTTTATGTGAAGATATTTCCTTTTCCATTATAGACCAAAGCGCTCCAAATTAACAGTTGCAGATTCTTCAAAAAGAGTGTTTCAAAACTGCTCTAGCAAACGAAAGGTTCAACTCAGTGAGTTGAATGCACACATCACGAAGAAGTTCCTGAGAATGCTTCTGTCTTGTTTTTATGTGAAGATATTTCCTTCTCCACCAAAGGCCTTAAATCTCTCCAAATATCTACTTACAGATTCTACAAAAAGACTGTTTCGCAACTGCTCTATCAAAAGAAAGATTCAACTCTGTGAATTGAACACACACATCACAAAGGTGTTTCTGAGAATGCTTCTGTCAAGTTTTTATGTGAAGATATTGCCTTTCCTACCATAGTCCTCAAAGCGCTCCAAATGAACACCTGCTGATTCTATAAAAAGGGGGTTTCAAAACTGCTCTATCAATAGAAAGGTTCAACTCTGTGAGTTCAATGCACACATCCAAAGAGCTTTCTGAGAATGCTTCTGTTTATTTTTATGTGAAGGTATTCCCGTTTCCAACGAAGGCCTCAAAGAGCTCCAAGTATCCACTAGCAGATTCTACAAAAGGAGTGTTTCAAATATGCTCTATCAAAAGAAACGTTCAACTCTGTTAGTTGAATGCACACATCACAAAGAAGAATCTGAGAATCCTTCTGTCTAGTTTTTCTGTGAAGATATTTTTTTTATCCACCATAGGCCTCAAATCACTCCAAATATCCACTTGTAGATTCTACAAAAAGAATGCTTCAAAACTGCTCTGTCAAAAGGAAGGTTCAACTCTGAGTTGAATGCGCACATCACAAATAATTTTCTGAGAATGCTTCTGTCTAGATTTTATGTGAAAATATTTCCTTTTCCACCATAGACCTGAAAGTGCTCCAAATGAACACTTACAGGTTTACAAAAAGAATGTTTCAACACTGCTCTATGAAAAGAAAGGTTCACCTCTGTGAGTTGAATTCACACATCACAAAGAAGGTTCTAATATTACTTCTGCTGGTTTTTATATGAAGATATTCCCGTTTCCAACGAAGCCTACAAGGAGCTCCAAATATCCACTAGCAGATTCTACAAAAGGACTGTTTCAAAACTGCTCTATCAAAAGAAAGGTTCAACTTTTTTGCTTGAATGCACACATCACAAAGGAGTTTATCAGAATGCTTCTCTCTAGTTTTTATGTGAAGATATTTCCTTTTCCACCATAGGCCTCAAAGCACTCCAAATATCCACTTGCAGATTCTACAAAAAAGCTGTTTCAAAACTGCTTTCTCAAAAGGAAGTTTGAACAATGTGAGTTGAATGTACACATCACTAAGAAGTTTCTCAGAATCCTTCTGTCTAGTTTTTATGTGAAGATATTCCCGTATCCAACGAAGGCCTCAAAGAGCCCCAAATATCCACTAGCAGATTCTGCAAAAGGAGTGTTTCAAAACTGCTCTATCAAAACAAAGGTTCAACTCTTTGAGTTAAATGCACACATCACAAA
Organism: Homo sapiens; assembly: GCF_000001405.40. Classification (NCBI taxonomy): domain Eukaryota; kingdom Metazoa; phylum Chordata; class Mammalia; order Primates; family Hominidae; genus Homo; species Homo sapiens. The sequence goes on from NC_000012.12 coordinate 37,642,510, forward strand.
GTAGTTTCTGAGAATAATTCTACTTTTATATGGAGATATTTCCTTTTCCAACACAGGCCTCAAATCATTCCAAATATCCACCTGCAGATTCTTCAAAAAGACTGTTTCAAAACTCCTCTCTCAAAAGGAAGGTTCAACTCTGTGACTTGAATGCACACATTACAAAGAATTTCTGAGAATTCCTAGTTCTAATTTTTATGTGAAGATATTCCCGTTTCCAACGAAGGCCTGAAAGAGCTCCAAATACCCACTAGCATATTCCGCAAAAGGAGTGTTTCAAAACTGCTCTATCAAAAGAAAGTTTTAACTCTGTGAGTTGAATGCCCACATCACAAATTAGCTTCGGAGAATGCTTCTGTCTAGTTTTTATTTGAAGATATTTCCTTTTCCACCATAGTCCTCAAATTGCTCCAAATATCCACTTGCAGACACTACAAAAAGACTGGTTCAAATCTACTCTCTCAAAAGGAAGGTTCAACTCCGTGAGTTGAATGCACACATCACAAAGAAGTTTCTGAGAATGCTTCTGTCTAGTTTTTATGTGAAGATTTTCCCTTTTGCACCATAGGCCTCAAATCGCTCCAAATATCAACTTGCAGATTCCACAAAAAGACTGTCTCAAAACTGCTCCCTCAAAGTGAATGTTGAACTATGTGAGTTGAATGCACACATGACAAAGAAGTTTCTGAGAATGCTTCTGTCAAGTTTTCATGCAAAGATATTTCCTTTTCCACCACAGGCCTGAAATCGCTCCTAATTTCCATTTGCAGATTCTACAAAAGGACTTTTTAGAAACTGCTCTCCCAAAAGAAAGGTTCAACTCTGTAAGTTGAATGCACACATCACAAAGAAGTTTCTGAGAATGCTTCTGCCTAGTTTTTATGTGAAGATATATCCTTTTCCACCATACGCCTGAAATCGTTCTGAATTTCCACTTGCATATTCTACAAAAAGACTGTTTCAAAACTGCTCTCTCAAAAGGAATGTTCAACTCTGGGAGTTGAATACACACATCTCAAAGAAGTTTCTGAGAATGCTTCTGTCTAGTTTTTATGTGAAGATATTCCCTTCACCACCATAGGCCTCAAGGCGCTCCAAATGAACACTTGCAGATTCCACAAAAAGGGGGTTTCAAAACTGTCCTATCAATAGAAAGGTTCATCTCTGTGAGTTGAATGCACACATCAGAGAAAAACTTTCTGAGAATGCTTCTGTCTAGTTTTTATGTGAAGATATTTCCTTTTCCACAGTAGGCATCAAAGCCCTCCAAATATCCACTTGCATATACTACAAAAAGAGTCTTTCAAAACTGTTCTATCAAAAGAAATATTCAACTCTGTAGTTAAATGTACACATCACTAAGAAGTTGCTGAGAATGCTTCTGTCTAGTTTTAATGTGAAGATATTTCCTTTTAAACCATAGGCCTCAAAGTGCTATAAATATCCATCCTGCGAATTCTACAAAAAGAGTTTTCAAAACTGCTGTATCTAAAGAATGTTTCAACTCTGTGAGTTGAATGCACACATCACAAAGAAGTTGCTGAGAATGCTTCTGTCTAGTTTTTTTGTGCAGATACTTGCTTTTCCACCATAGTCCTCAAAGCACTCCAAATATCCACTTGCAGATTCTACCAAAAGAATGTTTCAAAACTGCTCTATCAAAAGAAATATTCAACTCTGTGAGTTGAATGCACACATCACAAAGGAGTTTCTGAGAATGCTTCTCTCTACTAGTTTTTATATGAAGATATTTTCTTTTCCACCATAGGCCTCAAAGTGCTCCAAATATCCACTTGCAGATTCAACAAAAAGAGTTTTTCAAAACTGCTCTATCAAAAGAAAGGTTCAACACTGTGGGTTAAATGTACAGATCACAAAGAAGTTTTTGAGAATGATTCTGTCTTCTTTGTATGTGAAGATATTTCCTTTTCCACCATAGAGCTAAAAGCGCTCCAAATATCCACTTGCTGATTCTACAGAATGAGTGTTTCAAAACTGCTCAATCAAAAGAAAGATTCAACTTTGTGAGTTGAATGCAAACATCACAAAGAAGTTTCTGAGAATGCTTTTGTCTTGTTTTTATGTGGAGACATTTCCTTTTCCATTATAGTGCTCAAAGCCCTCCAAATATCCAGTTGAAGATTCTACAAAAACAGAGTTTCAAAACTGCTCTATCAAAAGAAAGATCCAACTCTTTGAGATGAAGGTACACATCACAAAGAAGTTTCTGAGAATGCTTTTGTATAGTTTTTATGTGAAGATATTTCATTTTCCCCCATAAGCCTCAAAGCGCTCCAAATATTTGCTTGCGGATTCTACAAAAAGAGTGTTTCAAAGTTGCGCTATCAAAAAAAGTTTCAACTCTGTGATTTGAAAGTGCACATCATAAAGAAGATTCTGAGAATGATTCAGCCTAGTTTTTATGTGAAGATATTTCCTTTTCCACCGTAGGCCTCCACGCGCCTCGAATAATCACTTGCATATTCTACCAAAGGAGTGTTTCAAATCTGCTCTATCAAAAGAAAGGTTTAACTCTGAGAGTTGAATGCACACAGCACACAGAAGACCTCAAAGAGCTCCAAGTATCCACTTGCAGATTCTACAAAAAGTGTTTCAAAACACTTTCTGATGTGTGCATTCAACTAATAGGGTTGAAACTATTTTTTGATTGAGAGGTTTTGTATCTCTCTTTTTGTAGAATCTGCAAGTGGATATTTGGAGCCCTTTGAACCGTATGCTGGAAAATGAAATATCTTAAAATAAAAACTACACAGAAGCATTCAGAGAAATTTCTTTCTGATGTGTGCTTTCAACTCACAGTGTTGAACTTTTCTTTTGATAGAGCAGTTTTGAAACACTCCTTTTGTAGAATCTGCTAGTGGATATTTGCAACTCTTTGAGGCCTTCATTCGAAACGGGAATATCTTCACATAAAAGCTAGAGAGAAGCATTCTCAGAAAGTTCTTTGTGATGTGTGCATTCAACTCACAGAGTTGAATCTTTCTTTTGATTGAGCAGTTTTGAAGCACTTTGAGGTCTATTTTGGAAAAGGAAATATCTTCACATAAAAACTACACAGAATCATTCTGAGAAGCTCTTTGTAATGGGTTCAGTCAACTCACAGAGTTGAACCTATCTTTTGATTAAGCAGATTTGAATCTCTCTTTTTGCCCTGCAAGTGGATTTTTGGAGCGCTTTGTTATGTACTGTGGAAAAGCAAATATCTTCACACGAAAATTACACAGAAGCATTCTGAGAAACTTCTTTTTGAGGTGAGCCCTCAACACACAAAGTCGAACCTATCTTTTGATTGAGCAGTTTTGAATCTCTTTTTTTGCGGAATCTGCAAGTGGATATTTGGAGAGCTTTGAGGCCTATTGTGGAAAAGGAAAAATATTCACTTAAAAACTACAGAGAAGCTTTCTGGGAAACTTCTTTGTGATGGGTGCATTCAGCTCACACAGTTGCAACTATCTTTTCATAGAGCAGTTTTGAATCTCTCTTTTTGTAGAATCTGAACATAGATATTTGGAGCCATTTGCGCCCCATGTTGGAAAAGGAAATATATTCAAAAAAAAACTACACATAAGCATTCTGAGAAATTTCTTTGTGATGTGTGCATTCATCTCACATTGTTGAAACTTTCTTATGATTGTGCAGTTTTGAAACATTCTGTTTGTAGATTCTGCAAGTGGATATTTGGAGTGCTATGAGGCCTATTGTGCAAAAGGAAATATCTTCACATAAAAACTACACAGAAGCATTCTCAGAAACTTTTTCCCTTTGCGTGCATTCATCTCACAGAGTTGAACATTTCCTTTGACTGAGCAGCTTTGAAACAGTCTTTTTGTAGAATCTGCAGTTGTATATTTGGATCGCTTTGAGGCCTATTGTGGAAAAGGAAATATCTTCACAGAAAACTACACAGAAGCATTCTGAGAAACTTGTTTGTGATGTGTGCATTCATCTCATAGAGTTGAACCTATCTTTTGATAGAGCAGTTTTGAAACTCCCTTTTTGTAGAATCTGCAAGTGGATATTTGCAGCCCTTTGTGGCCTATGGTGCAAAAAGAAATATCTTCACATAAAAACGCAACAGAAGATTCTGAGAAACTCCTGTGTGATGTGTGCATTCATCTCACAGAGTTGAAACTTTCTTTTGATTGAGCAGTTGTGAAACACTATTTTTGCAGAATTTTCAGGTGGATATTTGAAGCGATTTGTGGCCTATGGGGGAAAATGAAATATCTTCACATAAAAACTACACAGAAGCATTCTCAGAAACTTCTTTGTGATGTGTGCATTCATCTCACAGAGTTGAACCTATCTTTTGATAGAGCAGTTTTGAAATTCTCTTTTTGTAGAATCTACAAGTGGATATTTGGAGCAGTTTTCTGGCAATGGTGGAAAAGGAAATATATTCACATAAAAACTACACATAAGAATTCTGAGAAACTTCTTTGTGATGTGTGCATTCATCTCACAGAGTTGAACCTCACTGTTGATTGAGCTGTTTGGAAACACTCTTTTTGTAGAATCTGCAAGTGGATATTTGGAGCGCTTTGAGGCCTATTGTGGAACAGGGAATATCTTCACATAAAAACAACACAGAAACATTTGGAGAATCTTCCTTGTGACGTGTGCATTTATCTCACAGAGTTGAAATCTCTTTTGATTGAGCAGTTTTGAAATACTCTTTTCATAGAATCTGCAAGTGGATATTTGGAGTGCTTCGAGGCCTATGTTGGAAAAATGAAATGTCCTCACATAAAAACTACACGGAATCATTCTGAGAAGCTTCTTTATGATGTGTGCATTCAACTTGCAGAATTGGACCTGTCTTTTCATAGAGCCGTTTTGAAACTCTTTTTGTAGAATCTGTAACTGGCTATTTGTTGCCCTCTGTGGTCAATGGTGGAAAAAGAAATATCTTCCATAAAAACTACACAGAAGCATTCTGAGAAACTTCTTGGTGATGTGAGCACTCATCTCACAGAGGTGAACCTTTCATTTGATTGAGCAGTTTTGATACACTCTTTTTGTATAATCTGGAAGTGGATGTTTGTATCGCTATGAGGCCTATTGTGGAATAGAAAATATCTTCACATAAAAACTACACAGGAACATTCTCAGAAACTTCTTTGTGATGTGTGTATTCAACTCACAGAGTTGAAACTATCTTTTGATTGAGCAGTTCTGAATCTCTTTTTGTGGAATCTGCAAGTGGATGTTAGGAGCCCTTTGCACCCTATGGTGGAAAAGGAAGTATCTTCAAATGGAAACTACATAGAAGCATTCAGAGAAACTTCTTTGTGATGAGTGCATTCATTACACAGAGTTGAAGTTTTATTTTGATTGACCAGTTTTGAAAAACTCTTCGCTTGGAATCTGGAAGCAGATATTTGGAGGGCTTTGAGGCCTATTTTGGAAAAAGAAATAACTTCATATAAAAACTACACAGAAGCAATCTGATAAACTTCTTTGTTACGTGTGCATTCAACTCACAGCATTGAACTTGTCTTTTGATTGAGCAGTTTTGAAACTCTCCTTTTGCAGAATCTGCAAGTGGATATTTGGAGCTCTTTGTGGCCTACTATGGAAAAAGAAATATCTTCACATAAAAATTACATAGAAGCATTCTGAGAAACTTCTTTGTGATGGGTGCATTCAACTCACAGAGTTGAACCTGTCTTTGATGGAGCAGTTTTGAATCTCTCTTTTTGTAGAATCTGCACGTCGATTTTCTGAGCCCTTTGCACCCTATGGTGGGAAAGGAAATATCTTCAAATAAAAACTACACAGAAGCATTCTGAGAAATATTTTGTGATGTGTGCATTCATCACACAGGGTTGAACCCACCTTATGATTGAGCAGTTACCAAACACTCTGTTTGTGGAATCTGCAGGTGGATATTTGGAGCGCTATGAGGCCTACTGTGGAAAAGCAGATATCTTCACATAAAACCTACACAGAGGTATTCTGAGAAACTTCTTTGTGATTTTATGCATTCATCTCACGGAGTTGAACTTTCTTTTGATTGAGCAGATTTGAAACACTCTTTTTGTAGAATCTGCATGTGGATATTTGGAGCGCTTTGAAGCTTATGGTGGAAAAGTGAATATCTTCACATAAAAACTACACAGGAGCATTATGATAAACTACTTTGTGATATGTGCATTCATCTCACAGAGTTGAACCTATCTTTTGATAGAGCAGTTTTGAAACTCTCTTTTTGTAGAATCTGCAAGTGGATATTTGGATCTCTTTGAGGCCTATTGTGGAAAAGGGAATATCTTCGCATAAAAACTACAAGAAACATTCTGAGAAACTTCTTTGTGATGAGTGCATTCATCTCACAGTGTTGAACCTCTCCTTTGATTGAGCAGTTTGGCAACACTCTTTTTGTAGAATCTGCAAGTGGATATTTGGAGGGCATTGAAGCCTATTGTGCAACAGGAAATATCTTCACATAAAAACTACACAGAGGGATTCTCAGAAACATCTTTGTGATGTTTGCATTCATCTCAAAGAGTTGAACCTTCCTTTTGACTGAGCAGTTTTGAAACACTCTTTTTGTAGAATCAGCAACTGGATATTTGGAGCGCTCTGAGGCCTGTGGTGGAAAAAGAAATATCTCCACATAAAAACGACACAGAAGCAATCTGAGAAACTTCTTTGTGATGTGTGCATTCATCTCACAGAGTTGCACCTATCTTTTGATAGGGCAGTTTTGAAACTCACTTTTTGTAGAATCTGCAAGTGGATATTTGGAGCCCTTTGCGGCCTATTGTGGAAAAGGAAATATCTTCACATATAAACTGCACAGAAGCATTCTGAGAAATTTCTTTGTGATTTTTTACATTCATTTCACACAGTTGAAACTTTCTTTTGATTGAGCAGTATTGAAACACTCCTTTGTAGAATCTGGAAGTGGATATTTGGAGGGCTTTGAGTCCTATTTTGGAATAAAAAATATCTTCACGTAAAAATTACCCAGAAGCATTCTCAGAAACTTATTTTTTATGTGTGCATTCAACTCAAAGAGTTGAACCTATCTTTTGATTGAGCAGTTTTGAATCTCTCTTTTTTCAGTATCTGCAAGGGGATATTTGGAAAGCTTTGAGGCCTACTGTGGAAAAGCAAATATCTTCACATAAAAACTACACAGAAGCCTTCGGAGAAACTTCTTTGTGAGATTTGCAATCAACTCACAGAGTCGAACCTCTCTTTTGAATGAGCAGTTTTGAATCTGTCTTTTTGCAGAATCTGCAGGTGGATATTTGGAGCCCTTTGCGACCTATGGTGGAAAGGTAATATCTTCAAATCAAAACTGCACAGAAGCATTCTGAGAAACGTCTTTGTGAGGTGTGCATTCACCTCACAGGTTTGAAGCTATATTATGATTGAGCAGTTTTGAAACACTCTTTTTGTAGAATCTGCAAATGGATATTTGGAGCGCTTTGAGTCCAGTTGTGGAAAAGCACATATCTTCAAATAAAAACTACACAGAAGCATTCTGAGAAACTCCTTTGTGATGTGTGCATTCATCTCACAGTGTTGATCCATTCTTTTGAGAAGTTTATTATTATTATTATTATACTTTAAGTTTTAGGGTACATGTGTACAATGTGCAGCTTATTTACATATGTATACATGTGCCATGCTGGTACGCTGTACCCAATAACTTGTCATCTAGCATTAGGTATATCTTTTGAGCAGTTTTTAAACACTCTTTTTGTAGGATCTCCAAGTGGATATTAGGAGCGCTGTGATGCCTATGGGGGAAAAGCAAATGTCTCCACATAAAAACTACACAGAAGAATTCTGAGAAACTTCTTTGTGATGTGTGCTTTCATCTCACAGTGTTGATCCCTTCTTTTGATTGAGCAGTTTTGAATGACTGTTTTCATAGAATCTGGAAGTGGATATTTAGAGGCCTTTGAGACTTACAGTGGAAAAGCCAATATCTTCACATAAAAACTACAGAGAAGCATTCTGAGAAACTACTTTGTGATGTGTGCATTCACCTCACAGAGTTGAGCCTTTCTTTTAATGGAGCAGTTTTGAAACACTCTTTTTGTAGAATTTGCAAGTGGATATTTTGAGTGATTTGAGGCCTATTGTGGAAAAGGAAATGCCTTCACATAAAGACTACACAGAAGAATTCTCAGAAACTTCTTCCTTTTGTGTGCATTCATCTCACAGAGTTGAACATTTCTTTTGATTGAGCAGCTTTGAAACAATCTTTTTGTAGAATCTGTGAGGGGATATTTGGATTGCTTTGATGCCTATTGTGGAAAAGGAAATATCTTCACATAAATACTACACAGAAGCATTCTGAGAAACTTCTTTGTGATGTGTGTATTCATCTCATAGAGTTGAACCTATCTTTTGATAGAGCAGTTTTGAATCTCTTTTTGCAGAATCTGCAAGTGGATATTTGGAGACCTTTGTGGCATCTGGTGGAAAAGGAAATATCTTCACATAAAAACTACACAGACAGATTCACAGAAACCTCTTTGTGATGTGTGCATTCATCTCACAGAGTTGAACCTTTCTTTTGATTGAGCAGTTTTGAAACACTCTTTTTGTAGAATGTGCAACTGAATATTTGGAGCACTCTGAGGCCTCTGGTGGAAAAAGAAATATCTTTACATAAAAACTACACAGAAGCAATCTGAGAAACTTCTTAGTGATGTGTGTATTCATCTCACAGAGTTTAACCTATCTTTTGATGGAGCAGCTTTGAAACTCTCTTTTTGTAGAATCTGCAAGTGGATATTTGGAGCCATTTGCAGCCTATGGTGCAAATGGAAATAGCTTCACTTAAAAACTACACAGAAACATTCACAGAAACTTCTTTGTGATTTTTTGAATTCATTTCACAGAGTTGAACCTTTCTTTTGATTGAGCAGTTTTGAAACACTCTTTTTGTGTAATCTGGAAGTGGATATTTGGAGGGCTTTGAGTCCTATTTTGGAAAAGGAAATATCTTCACATAAAAACTGCACAGAAGCATTCTGAAACACTTGTTTGTTATGTGTGCATTCATCTCACAGAGTTGAACCTATCTTTTGATTGAGCACTTTTGAATCTCTCATTTTTCAGTATCTGCAAGTGGATATTAGGAGCCCATTGCAACCTATGGTGGTAAAGGTAATATCTTCAAATAAAAACTACACAGAAGTATTATGAGAAACTTTTTTGTGAGGTGTGCATTCATCTCACAATGTTGAACCTATCTTATGATTGAGCAGTTTTGAAACACTGCTTTTGTAGAATCTGCAAGTGTATATTTGGAGCGCTTTGAGTAGAATTGTTGGAAAGGACATTTCCTCACATAAAAACTGCAGAGAAGCATTCTGAGAAACCACTTTGTGATTTGTCCATTCATCTCACAGAGTTGAACCTTTCTTTTGATTGAGCAGTTTTGAAATACTCTTTGTGTAGAATCTGCAAGTGGATATTTGGAGCGATTTGAGTCCTATTGTGGAATAGGAAATATCTTCACATAAAAACTACACAGAAGCATTCTAAGAAACTACTTTGTGATGTCTGCATTCAACTCACAGAGTTGAACCTATCTCTTGATGGAGCAGTTTTGAAACACTGTTTTTGTAGAATCTGCAGGTGGAAATTTGGAGTGCTTTGAGGCTCAATGTGGAAAAACAAATATCTTCACATAAAAACTACACAGATGCATTCTGAGAAACTTCTTTGTGAGGTGTGCATTCAACACACGGAGTTGAAACTATCTTTTCATTGAGCAGTTTTGAGTCTCTTTTTACAGAATCTGCAAGTGGATATTTGGAGAGCTTTGAGGCCCATAGTGGAAAAGGAAATATCTTCACATAAAAACTACACAGAAGATTTCTGTAAAACTTCTTTTTGAAGGGTGCATTCAACTCACAGAGTTCAACCTGTCTTTTGATTGAGCAGTTTTGAATCTCTCTTTTTGTAGAATATGTAAGTGGATATTTGTAGCCCTTTCTGCCCTATGGTGGAAAAGGAAATATCTTCAAATAAAAACTACACAGAAGTATTCTGAGAAATTTCTTTGTGATGTGTGCATTTTTCTCACACGGTTGAACCTATCTTATGATTGAGCAGTTTTGAAACACTCTCTTTGTAGAATCTGAAAGTGGATATTCGGAGGGTTTGAGGCCTATTGTGGAAAAGGAAATATCTTCACATAAAAAACTTCACAGAAGCATTCTGAGAAACTTCCTTGTGATGTGTGTATTCAACTCACAGAGTTGAAACTATCTTTTGATTGAGCAGTTCTGAATCTCTTTTTGTGGAATCTGCAAGTGGATGTTAGGAGCCCTTTACACCCTATGGTGGAAAAGGAAGTATCTTCAAATGGAAACTACATAGAAGCATTCAGAGAAACTTCTTTGTGATGAGTGTATTCATTACACAGAGTTGAAGCTTTATTTTGATTGACCAGTTTTGAAAAACTCTTTGCTTGGAATCTGGAAGCAGATATTTGGAGGGCTTTGTGGCTTATTTTGGAAAAGGAAATAACTTCACATAAAAACTACACAGAAGCAATCTGATAAACTTCTTTGTTACGTGTGCATTCAACTCACAGCATTGAACTTGTCTTTTGATTGAGCAGTTTTGAAACTCCCCTTTTGCAGAATCTGCAAGTGGATATTTGGAGCTCTTTGTGGCCTACTATGGAAAAAGAAATATCTTCACATAAAAATTACATAGAAGCATTCTGAGAAACTTCTTTGTGATGGGTGCATTCAACTCACAGAGTTGAACCTGTCTTTGATGGAGCAGTTTTGAATCTCTCTTTTTGTAGAATCTGCACGTCGATTTTCTGAGCCCTTTGCACCCTATGGTGGGAAAGGAAATATCTTCAAATAAAAACTACACAGAAGCATTCTGAGAAATATTTTGTGATGTGTGCATTCATCACACAGGGTTGAACCCACCTTATGATTGAGCAGTTACCAAACACTCTGTTTGTGGAATCTGCAGGTGGATATTTGGAGCGCTATGAGGCCTACTGTGGAAAAGCAAATATCTTCACATAAAACCTACACAGAGGTATTCTGAGAAACTTCTTTGTGATTTTGTGCATTCATCTCACGGAGTTGAACTTTCTTTTGATTGAGCAGATTTGAAACACTCTTTCTGTAGAATCTGCATGTGGATATTTGGAGCGCTTTGAAGCTTATGGTGGAAAAGTGAATATCTTCACATAAAAACTACACAGGAGCATTATGATAAACTACTTTGTGATGTGTGCATTCATCTCACAGAGTTGAACCTATCTTTTGATAGAGCAGTTTTGAAACTCTCTTTTTGTAGAATCTGCAAGTGGATATTTGGATCTCTTTGAGGCCTATTGTGGAAAAGGGAATATCTTCGCATAAAAACTACAAGAAACATTCTGAGAAACTTCTTTGTGATGAGTGCATTCATCTCACAGTGTTGAACCTCTCCTTTGATTGAGCAGTTTGGCAACACTCTTTTTGTAGAATCTGAAAGTGGATATTTGGAGGGCATTGAAGCCTATTGTGCAACAGGAAATATCTTCACATAAAAACTACACAGAAGCATTCTGAGAAACTTCCTTGTGATGTGTGCATTCATCTCACAGAGTTGAACTTCTCTTTTGTTTGAGCAGTTTTGAAATACTCTTTTCGTAGAATCTGCAATTGGATATTTGGACAGCTTTGAGGGCTATGGTGGAAAAGGAAATATCTACAAGTAAAAACTACACAGAATCATTCTGAGAAGCTTCTTTGTGATGTGTTCATTCAACTCGCAGAGTTGAACCCATCTTCTCATAGAGTAGTTTTGAAACTCTCTTTTTGTAGAATCTGTAAGTGGTTATTTGGAGCCCTATTTGGCCAATGGTGGAAAAGGAAATATCTTCCCATAAAAACTACACAGAAGCATTCTGAGAAACTTCATTGTGTTGTGAGAACTCATCTCACAGAGGTGAACCTTTCATTCTATTGAGCAGTCTTGATACACTCTTTTTGTAGAATGTGCAGGTGGATATTTGTAGCGTTTTGAGGCCTATTGTGGAAAAGGAAATATCTTCACATAAAAACTACACAGTAGCATTCTCAGAAACTTTTTTTTTGTGCATTCATCTCACAGAGTTAAACGTTTCTTTTAATTGAGCAGTGTTGAAACACTCTTTGTGTAGAATCTGCAAGTGGATACCAGGAGTGCTTTGAAGCCTAAGGTGGAAAAGGGTAAATCTTCACATAAAACTACTCAGAAGCATTCTGAGAAACTTCTTTGTGATGCGTGCATTCAACTCACAGAGTTGAAACTATCTTTTGATTGAGCAGTTTTTAATCTGTTTTTTTGCAGAATCTGCCAGTGGATATTTGGAGCCATTTGCGACCTATGGTGGAAAAGGAAATATCTCAAATAAAAACTACACAGAAGCATTTAGAGAGACTGCTTTGTGATGAGTGCATTCATCACACAGAGTCGAACTTTTCTTTTGATTGGGCAGTTTTGAAACACTCTTTTTGTGCATTCTGGAAGTGGATATTTGGAGGGCTTTGAAGCCTATTTTGAAAAAGGTAATATCTTCACATAAAAGCTACACAGAAGTATTCTGAGAAACTTCTTTGTTATGTAGGCATTCAACTCACAGATTTGAAACTATCTTTTGATTGAGGAGTTTTGAATCTCTCTTTTTGCGGAATCTGCAAGAGGATATTTGGAGTGCTTTGAGGGCTACTGTGGAAAAGCAAATAACTTCACATAAAAACTACACAGAAGCATTCTGAGAAACTTCTTTGTGATGTGTGCACTCATCTCACAGAGATGAACCTTTCATATGATTGATCAGTTTTGAAACAATCTTTTTGTATAATCTGCAAGTGGATATTTGGAGTGCTTTGAGGCCTACCGTTGAAAAGCAAATATCTTCAGATAAAAACTACACGAAAGCATTCTGAGAAACTTCTTTGTGAAGTGTGCATTCAACTCACAGAGTTGAACTTATCTTTTGAATGAGCAGTTTTGAATCTCTCTTTTTGCAAAATCTGCAAGAGGATATTTGGAGCGCTTTGAGGACTACTGTGGAAAAGCCAATATCTTCACATAAAAACTACACAGAAGCATTCTGAGAAACTTATTTTTGGGGTGTTCATTCAACACACAGAGCTGTATCTATCTTTTGATTGTGCAGTCAGGATCTGTTATTTTTTTTTTGCAGAATCTGCATGTGGATATTTGGAGAGCTTTGAGGCGGATTGTGGAAAAGGAAATATCTTCACATAAAAACTACAGAGAAGCATTCTGTGAAACTTCTTTGTGAGGGCTTCATTCAACTCACAGAGTTGAGCCTATCTTTTGATTGAGCAGTTACCAATCTCTCATTTTGTAGAATCTGCAAGTGGATATTTGGAGCCCTTTGTGGCCTACGGTGGAAAAGTAAATATCTTCAAATAAAAACTACACTGAAACATTCTGATAAACTTCTTTGTGATGTGCGCATTCAACTCACAGGGTTGAACCTATCTTATGATTGAGCAGTTTTGAAACACTCTTTTTGTAGTATCTGCAAGTGAATATTTGGAGCACTTTGAGGCCTTTTGTGGAAAAGGAAATATCTTCACATAAAAACTACACAGAAGCATTCTGAGAAACTTCTTTGTGATGATTGCATTCATCTCACAGAGTTGAATCTATCTTTTGATTGAGCAGTTTTTAATGTCTTTTTTTGCAGAATCTGCCATTGGACATTTGGAGCCGTTTGCGACCTATGGTGGAAAAAGAAATATCTTCAAATAAAAACTACACAGAAGCATTTAGAGAAACTTCTTTGTGATGTGTGCATTCATCTCACAGAGTTGAAACTTTCTTTTGATTGAGCAGTTTTGAAACACTCTTTTTGTAAAATCTGCAGGTGGATATTTGGAGCGATTTGTGGACTACTGTGGAAAAGGAATTATCTTCACATAAAAAATACACAAAAGCATTCTGAGAAACTTCTTTGTGATGTGTGCATTCAACGCATAGAGTTGTACCTATCTTTTGATTGAGCTCTTTTGCATCTCTCTTTTTGTAGAATCTGCAAGTGGATATTTGGAGCCATTTTCACCCTATGGTGTAAAAGGAAATATCTTCAAATAAAAGCTACACATAAGGATTATGAGAAACTTCTTTGTGATGAGTGCATTCATCAAACAGAGTTGAACCTTTCTTTTGATTAAGCAGTTTTGAAACAGTCTTTTTGTAGTATCTGGAAGTCGATATTTGGAGTGTTTTGAGGCCTATTTTGGAAAAGGAAATATCTTCACATAAAAACTGCACAGAAGCAATTTGAGATACTTCTTTGTTATGTGTGCATTCAACTCACAGAGTTGAACCTATCTTTTGATTTAGCAGTTTTGAAACACTGTTTTTGTAGAATCTGCAAGTGGATATTTGTAGCGCTTTGAGGCCTACTGTGGAAAAGCAAATATCTTCACATAAAAACTACACAGAAGCATTCTGAGAAACTACTTTCTGATGAGTGCATTCGTCTCACAGACTTGAACCTTTCTTTTGATTGAGTAGTTTTGAAACACTCTTTTTGTAGAATCTGTAAGTGGATATTTGGAGCGATTTGAGGCCTATTGCGGAAAAAGGAAATATCTTCACATAAAAACTACACAGATGCATTCTGGGTAACTTCCTTGTGATGTGTGCATTCAACTCACAGAGTTGAACCTATCTTTGTTTGAACAGTTTTGAATCTCTCTTTCTGTAGAATCTGCAAGTGAATATTTGGAGCCCTTTGTGGCCTATTTTGGAAAGGAAAATATCCTCACATAAAAACTACAAAGAAGCATTTTGAGAAACTTATTTGTGATGTGGTCATTAATCTCACAGAGTTGAACCTTTCTTTTCATTCAGTACTTTGGTAATGCTCTTTTTGTAGAATCTGCAAGTGGATATTTGCAGCGCTTTGAGACCTACGGTGGAAAAGTAAATATCTTCACATAAAAACTACACAGAAGCATTCTGAGAAACTTCTTCATAATGTGGGCATTCATCTTACAGAGTTGAACCTAACTTTTGACAGAGCAGTTTTGAAACTCTCTTTTTATAAAATCTGCAAGTGGATATTTGGAATGCTTTGAGGCCTATGGTGGAAAAGAAAATATCTTCACATGAAAACTACACGGAAGCATTCTGAGAAACTTTTTTCCGATGTGTGCATTCATTTCACAGAGGTGAATTACTCTTTTGATTAGGCAGATTGGAAACACTCTTTTTGTAGAATCTGCAAGTGGATATTTGGAGCGGTTTGAGGCCTATGGTGGCAAACGAAATTTCTTCACATAAAAACTGTACAGAAGCATTCTGAGAAACTTCTTTGTGATATGTGCCTTCAACTCACAGAGTTGAACCTATCTTTCAATTGAGCAATTTGGTATCTCTCTTTTTGTTGTGTCTGCAAGTGGATATTTGGAGCACTTTGTGTCATATTTTTGAAAAGGTAATATCTTCACATAAGAACGACACAGAAGCATTCTAAGGAAATTCTTTGCGATGTGTGCATTCATCTCACCGAGTTGAACCTTTCTTTTTAATTGAGCAGTTTGGAAATACTCTCTTTGTAGAATTTTCAGGTGGATATTTGGTGCGTTTGAGGCCCATGGTGGAAAAAGAAATATCTTCACATAAAAACTACACAGAACCATTCTGAGAAACTTCTTTGTGATGTGTGCATTCAACTCACAGTGTCGAACGTATCTTTTGATTGAGCAATTGCAAAATCCTTTTTTGTAGAATCTGCAAGTGGTTATTTGAGTCCTTTGCAGCCTATGGTGGAAAAGGAAATATCTTCACATAAAAAATGCACAGAAGCATTCTGAGAAACTTCTTTGTTATGGGTGCATTCATCTCACAGAGTTGAACCTTTCTTTTGTTTGAGTAGTTTTGAAACACTCTTTTTGTAGAATCTGTAAGTGGACATTTGGAGCACTTTGAGGCCTACTGTGTAAAAGGAAATATCTTCACATAGAAACTACACAGAAGCATTCTGTGAAACTTCTTTGTGACGTGTGCATTCATCTCACAGGGTTGAAATTTTCCTTTGATTGAGCAATTTTGAAACACCCTTTTTCTAGAATCTGCAGCTGGATATTTGGAGCGCTTTGAGGCCTATTGTTTAAAAGGAAATATCTTCACTGAAAAACTTCACAGAAGCATTCTGAGAAACTTCTTTGTGATGTGTCCATTTATCTCACAGAGTTGAATCTTTCATTTCATTGAGCAGTTTGAAAACACTCTTATTATAGAATCCGCAAGAGGATATTTGGAGCGCTCTGGGGACTATGGTGGGAAAGGAAATATCTTCACATAAAAACTACAAAGAAACTTTCTGACAAACTGCTTTGCAATGTGTGCATTCAACTCACAGAGCTGAACCTATCTATGGCTTGAGGAGTTTTGAAACTCTCTTTTTGTATAATCTGTAAGTGGATATTTGGCACTCTTTGACGCCTATGGTGGAAAACGAAATATTTTCATATAAAAACTACACAGAAGCATTCTGATAAACTTCTTTGTGATGTGTGCATTCATCTCACAGAGTTGATCCTTTCTTTGAATTGAGCAGTTTTGAAACACTGTTTTTGTAGAATCTGCAAGTGGATATTTGGGGCACTTTGAGGCCTACTGTGGAAAAGGAAATATCTTCACATAATAATTACACAGATGCATTCTGAGAAACTTCTTTGTGATGTGTGTATTCATCTCACAGAGTTAAAACTTTCTTTTGATTGAGCTGTTTTGAAACCCTCTTTTTGTAGGATTTGCATGTGGATATTTAGAGCGCTTTGTGGCCTGTGGTAGATAAGGAAATATCTTCACATGAAAACTACATAAAAGCATTATGAGAAACTTCTTTGTGATGTGTGCATTCATCTCACAGAGGTGAACCTTGCTTTTGATTGAGCAGTTCTGAAACACTCTTTTTGTAGAATCTGCAGTGAATACATTGAGCTCTTTGAGGCCCATTTTGGAAAAGTAAATATCTTCACATAAAAACTACACTGAAGCATTCTGAGAAACTGATTTGAGATGTGTGCATTCATCTCATAGAGTAGAAAATTTCTTTTAATTTAGCAGTTTGGAAACACACTTTTTGAAGAATCTGCAAGTGGATATTTGGAGCACTTTGAGGCCTATTGTGGAAAAGGAAATATCTTCAGATAAAAACTACACAGAAGCATTCTGAGAAACTTGTTTGAGATGTGTGCATTCACCTCACAGATTTCAATCTTTCTTTTGATTGGCAGTTTGGAAACACTCTTTTTGTAGAATCTGCAAGTGAATATTTGGAGCGCTTCCAGGTCTATGGTGGAAAAGGAAATATCTTCATATAAAAACTATGCAGAAGCAGTCTGAGAAACTTATTTGCCATGTGTGCATTCATCTCACAGAGTTGAACCTCTCTTTTGATTGAGTAGTTTGGAAACACTCTCTTTTTAGAGTCTCCAAGTGGATATTTGGAGCGAATTGAGGTCTATGGTGGAAAAGGAAATATCTTCACATAAAAACTACATGCAACCATTCTGAGAAACTTCTTTGTGATGTTTGCATTCATCTGACAGAGTTGAACCTTTCTTTTGGTTCAGCAGTTTTGAAACACTCTATTTGGAGAATCTGCAAGTGGATATTTGCAGCACTTTGAGGTCTATTGTGGGAAAGGAAATATCTTCATATAAAAGCTACACAGAAGCATTCCGAGAAACTTCTTTGTGATTTGTGCATTAATCTCACAGAGTTGAATGTTTCTTTTGATTGAGCAGTTTGGAAACACTCTTTTTGTAGAATCTGCAGGTGGATATTTGCAACGCTTTGAGTCCTGTGTTGGAAAAGGAAATATCTTCACATAAAAACTACACAGAAGCATTCTCAGAAACTTCTTTGTGTTGTGTGCATTCATCTCACAGAGTTGAATCTTTCTTTTGATTGAGCAGTTTTGAAACAATCTTTTTGTAGAATCTCCAAGTGGATATTTGGAGCGCTTTGAGACCTATTGTGGAAATGGAAATATCTGCACATTAAAATTACACAGAAGCATTCTGAGAAACTTCTTTGTGATGTGTGCATTAATCTCATGGTGTTGAATCTTTCTTTTGATTGAGCTGTTTTGAAACACTCTTTTTGTAGAATCAGCAAGTGGATATTTGGAGCGCTTTGAGGCCTATGATGGAAAAGGGAATATCTTCACAAAAAAACTGCACAGAAGCATTCTGAGAAAGTTATTTTTTTTTTATTTTATTATTATTATACCTTAAGTTTTAGTGTACATGTGCACAATGTGCAGGTTAGTTACATATGTAGACATATGACATGTTGGTGTGCTGCATCTATTAACTCGTGATTTAGCATTAGGTATATCTCCTATAGCTATCCCTCCCCCCTCCCCCCACCCCACAATCGTCCCCAGAGTGTGAAGTTCCCCTTCCTGTGTCCATGAGTTCTCATTGTTCAGTTCTCACCTGTGAGTGAGAAGATGCGGTGTTTGGTTTTTTGTTCTTGTGATAGTTTACTGAGAATGATGATTTCCAATTTCATCAATGTCCCTAAAAAGGACATGAACTCATCATTTTTTTATGGCTGCATAGTATTCCATCGGTCATATGTGCCACATTTTCTTAATCCAGTCTATCATTGTTGAACATTTGGGTTCGTTCCAAGTCTTTGCTATTGTGAATAGTGCCACAGTAAACATACGTGTGCAAGTGTCTTTATAGCAGCACGATTTATAGTCCTTTGGGTATATACCCAGTAATGGGATGGCTGGGTCAAATGGTATTTCTAGTTCTAGATCCCTGATGAATCCCCACACTGACTTCCACAATGGTTGAACTAGTTTACAGTCCCACCAACAGTGTAGAAATGTTCCTATCTCTCTACATCGTCTCCAACACCTGTTGTTTCCTGATTTTTTAATGATTGCCATTCTAACTGGTGTGAGATGGTATCTCATTGTGGTTTTGATTTGCATTTATCTAATGGGCAGTGATGGTGAGCATTTTTTCATGTGTTTTTTGCCTGCATAAATGTCTTCCCTTGAGAAGTGTCTTTTCATGTCCTTTGCCCACTTTTTGATGGGGTTGTTTGTTGTTTTCTTGTAAATTTGTTTGAATTCATTGTAGATTCTGGATATTAGCCCTTTGTCAGAAGAGTAGGTTGCGAAAATTTTCTTCCGTTTGTAGGTTGTCTGTTCACTCTGATGGTAGCTTCTTTTGCTGTGCAGAAGCTCTTTAGTTTAATTAGATCCCATTTGTCAATTTTGGGTTTTGTTGCTATTGCTTTTGGTGTTTTAGACATGAAGTCCTTGTCCATGCCTATGCCTTGAATGGTAATGCCCAGGTTTTCTTCTAGGGTTTTTATGGTTTTAGGTCTAACATGTAAGTCTTTAATCCATCTTGAATTAATTTTTATATAAGGTGTAAGAAAGGGATCCAGTTTCAGCTTTCTACATATGGCTAGCCACTTTTCCCAGCACCATTCATTAAATAGGGAATCCTTTCCCCATTCCTTGTTTTTCTCAAGTTTGTCAAAGATCAGATAGTTGTAGATATGTGGCATTATTCCTGAGGGCTCTGTTCTGTTCCATTGAACTATATCTCTGTTTTGGTACCAGTACCATGGTGTTTTGGTTACTGTAGCCTTGTAGTATAGTTTGAAGTCAGGTAGCATGATGCCTCCAGCTTTTTTCTTTTGGCTTAGAATTGGCTGGGAGATACGTGCTCTTTTTTGGTTCCATATGAACTTTAAAGTAGTTTTTTCCAATTCTGTGAAGAAAGTCATTGGTAGCTTGATGGGGATGGCATTGAATCTATAAATTACCTTGGGCAGTATGACCATTTCCACGATATTGATTCTT
This sequence comes from Homo sapiens, assembly GCF_000001405.40. Classification (NCBI taxonomy): domain Eukaryota; kingdom Metazoa; phylum Chordata; class Mammalia; order Primates; family Hominidae; genus Homo; species Homo sapiens. The sequence goes on from NC_000012.12 coordinate 37,662,395, forward strand.
CCTACCCATGAGCATGGAATGTTCTTCCATTTGTTTGTATCCTCTTTTATTTCATTGAGCAGTAGTTTGTAGTTCTCCTTGAAGAGGTTCTTCACGTCCCTTGTAAGTTGGATTCCTAGGTATTTTATTCTCTTTGAAGCAGTTGTGTAGACTTCCTCTTTTCCGAATTGAATGCCCTTTATTTCCTTCTCCTGCCTGATTGCCCTGGCCAGAACTTCCAACACTATGTTGAATAGGAGTGGTGAGAGGGGGCATCCCTGTCTTGTGCCCGTTTTCAAAGGGAATGCTTCCAGTTTTTGCCCATTCAGTATGATATTGGCTGTGGGTTTGTAATAGATAGCTCTTAATATTTTGAGATACATCCCATCAATACCTAATTTATTGAGAGTTTTTAGCATGAAGAGTTGTTGAATTTTGTCAAAGGCCTTTTCTGCATCTATTGATATTATTATTTTGTTTTTGTCTTTGGTTCTGTTTATATGCTGGATTACATTTATTGATTTGTGTATATTAAACCAGCCTTGCAACCCAGGGATGAAGCCCACTTGATCATGGTGGATAAGCTTTTTGATGTGCTGCTGGATTCGGTTTGCCAGTATTTTATTGAGGATTTCTGCATCAATGTTCATCAAGGATATTGGTCTAAAATTCTCTGTTTTTATTGTGTCTCTGCCTGGCTTTGGTATCAGGATGATGCTGGCCTCATAAAATGAGTGAGGCAGGATTCCCTCTTTTTCTATTGTTTGGAATAGTCTCAGAAGGAATGGTACCAGTTCCTCTTTGTACCTCTGGTAGAATTCGGCTGTAAATCCATCTGGTCCTGGACTCTTTTTGGTTGATAAGCTATTGATTATTGCCACAATTTCAGATCCTGTTATTGGTCTATTCACAGATTCAACTTCTTCCTGATTTAGTCTTGGGAGAGTGTATGTGTTGAAGAATTTATCCATTTTTTCTAGATTTTCTAGTTTATTTGCGTAGAGGTGTTTGTAGTATTCTCGGATGGTAGTTTGTATTTCTGTGGGATCGGTGGTGATATCCCCTTTATCATTTTTTATTGCATCTATTTGATTCTCCTCTCTTTTCTTCTTTATTAGTCTTGCTAGCGATCTATCAATTTTGTTGATCCTTTCAAAAAACCAGCTCCTGGATTCATTAATTTTTTGAAGGGTTTTTTGTGTCTCTATTTCCTTCAGTTCTGCTCTGATTTTAGTTATTTTTTTTGCCTTCTGCTAGCTTTTGAATGTGTTTGCTCTTGCTTTTCTAGTTCTTTTAATTGTGATGTTATGGTGTCAATTTTAGATCTTTCCTGCTTTCTCTTGTGGGCGTTTAGTGCTATAAATTTCCCTCTACACACTGCTTTGAATGCATCCCAGAGATTCTGGTATGTTGTGTCTTTGTTCTCATTGGTTTCAAAAAACATCTTTATTTCTGCCTTCATTTCGTTATGTATCCAGTAGTTATGCAGGAGCAAGTTGTTCAGTTTCCATGTAGTTGAGCACTTTTGAGTGAGTTTCTTAATCCTAAGGTCTAGTTTGATTGCACTGTGGTCTGAGAGACAGTTAGTTATAATTTCTGATCTTTTACATTTGCTGAGGAGAGCTTTACTTTCAAGTATGTGGTCAATTTTGGAATAGGTGTGGTGTGGTGCTGAAAAAAATGTATATTCTGTTGATTTGGGGTGGAGAGTTCTGTAGATGTCTATTAGGTCCACTTGGTGCAGAGCTGAGTTCAATTCCTGGGTATCCTTGTTAACTTTCTGTCTCATTGATCTGTCTAATGCTGACAGTGGGGTGTTAAAGTCTCCCATTATTATTGTGTGGGAGTCTAAGTCTCTTTGTAGGTCACTCAGGACTTGCTTTGTGAATCTACGTGCTCCTGTATTGGGTGCATATATATTTAGGATAGTTAGCTCTTCTTATTGAATTGATCCCTTTACCATTATGTAATGGCCTTCTTTGTCTCTTTTGATCTTTCTTGATTTAAAGTCTGTTTTATCAGAGACTAGTATTGCAACCCCTGCCTTTTTTTTGTTTTCCATTTGCTTGGTAGATCTTCCTCCATCCTTTTATTTTGAGCCTATATGTGTCTCTGCACGTGAGATGGGTTTCCTGAATACAGCACACTGATGGGTCTTGACTCATTGTTCAATTTGCCAGTCTGTGTCTTTTAATTGGAGCATTTACTCCATTTACATTTAAAGTTAATATTGTTATGTGTGAATTTGATCCTGTCACGATGATGTTAGCTGGTTATATTGCTCATTAGTTGATGCATTTTCTTCCTAGCCTTGATGGTTTTTATAATTTGGCATTATTGGCAGTGGCTGGTACCGGTTGTTCCTTTCCATGTTTAGTGCTTCTTTCAGGAGCTCTTTTTGGGCAGGCCTGGTGGTGACAAAATCTCTCAGCATTTGCTTGTCTGTAAAGTATTTTATTTCTCCTTCACTTGTGAAGCTGAGTTTGGCTGGGTCTGAAATTCTGGGTTGAAAATTCTTTTCTTTAAGAATGTTGAATATTCGCCCCCACTCTCTTCTGGCTTGTAGAGTTTCTGCCGAGAGATCCTCTGTTAGTCTGATGGGCTTCCCTTTGTGGGTAACCCAATCTTTCTCTCTGGCTGCCCTTAACATTTTTTCCTTCATTTCAACTTTGGTGAATCGGACAATGATATGTCTTGGAGTTGCTCTACTCGAGGAGTATCTTTGTGGCATTCTCTGTATTTCCTGAATCTGGATGTTGGCCTGCCTTTCTAGATTGGGGCAGTTCTCCTGGATAACATCCCGCAGAGTGTTTTCCAACTTGGTTCCATTCTCCCCTTCAGTTTCATGTACACCAATCAGATGTAGATTTGGTCTTTTCACTCAGTACCATATTTCTTGGAGGCTTTGTTTGTTTCTTTTCATTCCTTTTTCTCTTAACTTCCCTTCTTGCTTCATTTCATTCATTTCGTCTTCCATCACTGATACCCTTTCTTCCAGTTGATTGCATTGGCTCCTAAGACTTCTGCATTCTTCATGTAGTTCTCGAGCCTTGACTTTCAGCTCCATCAGCTCCTTTAAGCACTTCTCTGTATTGGTTATTCTAGTTATACATTCGTCTAAATTTTTTTCAAAGTTTTCAACTTTTTTGCCTTTGGTTTGAATTTCCTCCTTTAGCTTGGAGTAGTTTGATCATCTGAAGCCTTCTTCTCTCAACTCGTTAAAGTCATTCTCCATCCAGCTTTGTTGCATTGCTGGTGAGGAGCTGTGTTCCTTTGGGAAAGGAGAGGCACTCTGCTTTTTAGAGTTTCCAGTTTTTCTGCTCTGTTTTTTTGCCATCTTTGTGGTTTTATCTACTTTTGGTCTTTGATGATGGTGATGTACAGATAGGTTATAGATGTGGATGTCCTTTCTGTTTGTTAGTTTTCCTTCTAACAGACAGGACCCTCAGCTGCAGGTGTGTTGGAGTTTGCTAGAGGTCCATTCCAGACCCTGTTTTCCTGGGTACCAGCAGAAGTGGCTGCAGAACAGCAGATTTTCGTGAACCGTGAATGCTGCTGTCTGATCGTTCCTCTGGAAGTTTTGTCTCAGAGGAGTACCCGGCCGTGTGATGTGTCAGTCTGCCCCTACTGAGGGGTGCCTCCCAGTTAGGCTGTTCGGGGGTCAGGGGTCAGGTACTCACTTGAGGAGACAGTCTGCCTGTTCTCAGATCTCCAGCTGAGTGCTGGGAGAAACACTGCTCTTTCCAAAGCTGTCAGACAGGGACATTTAAGTCTGCAGAGGTTACTGCTGTCTTTTTGTTTGTCTGTGCCCTGCCCCCAGAGGTGGAGCGTAAAGAGACAGACAGGCCTACTTGAGCTGTGGTGGGTTCCACCCAGTTCGAGCTTCCTTGCTGCTTTGTTTACCTAAGCAAGCCTGGCCAATGGTGGGCTCCCCTCCCACAGCCTCGCTGCCGCCTTGCAATTTGATCTCAGACTGCTGTGCTAGCAATCAGCAAGACTCCGTGGGTATAGGACTCCCCGAGACAGGTGCAGGATATAATCCCCTGGTGCACCGTTTTTTAACCCCATTGGAAAAGCGCAGTATTACGGTTGGAGTGACCCGAATTTCCAGGTGCCCTCTGTCACCCCATTCTTTGACTAGGAGAGAGAATTCCCTGTCCCCTTGCACTTCCTGAGTGAGACAATGCTTCGCCCTTCTTCGGCTCACGCATGGTGCGCTTCACCCACCGACCTGCACCCACTGTCTGGCACTACCTAGTGAGATGAGCCCGGTACCTCAGATGGAAATGCAGAAATCACCCGTCTTCTGCATCACTCACACTGGTAGCCATAGATCGGAGTTGTTCCTATTCAGCCACCATGGCTCCAGACCCCCTCTGAGAAACTTCTTTGTGATGTGTGCATTTGTCTCACAGAGTTGAAACTTTCTTATGATTCAGGAGTTTTCAAACACTCTTTTTGTAGCATCTGCAAGTGGATATTTGGAGGGACTTGATGCTTATTATGGAAAGGAAATATCTTCACATAAAAACTACACAAAAGCATTCTGAGAAAGTTCTTTGTGACGTGTGCATTTGTCTCACAGAGTTGAACCTTCCTTTTGATTGAGGACTTTTGAAACACTCGTTTTGTAGAATCTGCAAGTGGATATGTGGAACGGTCTGATGCCTATGGTGGAAAAGGAAATGTCTTCATATAAAATTTCACAGAAGCATTCTGAGAAACTTCTTTGCAATATGTGCATTCATCTCACAGATTTGTACCTTTCTTTGAGCAGTTTGGAAACATTCTGAGTTTCTGAGAATGCTTCTGTCTACTTTTTATGTGAAGATATTTCCTTTTCATCTATAAACCTCAAAGCACCCCAAATATTCATTTGCAGATATTACAAAATAGTGTTTCCAAACTGCACAATCAGAAGAAAGTTTCAACACAGTGACTTGAATGCACACATCAAAAATAAGTTTCTGAGAATGCTTCTGTCTAGTTTTTATGTGAAGATATTTCCTTTTACACCATAGACCTCAAAGGGCTCCAAATATTCCCATGCAGATTTTACAAAAAGGGTGTTTCTAAACTGCTCAATCAAAAGAAAGGTTTAGCGCTGTGAGATGACTGCACACATCAAAAAGAAGTTTCTCAGAATGTTTTTGTCTAGTTTTTATTTGAAGATATTTACTTTTCAACTACAGGCCTCAAAGCGCTATAATATCCATTTGCAGGTACTCCAAAAAAGAGTGTTTTGAAACTGCTCAATCAAAAGAAAGGTTCAACTCTGTGATTTCAAAGCACACATCACAAAGATGTTTCTGAGAATGGTTCTGTCTAGTTTTTTTGTGAAGATATTTCCTATCCCAACATAGGCCTCAAAGCTCTCCAAATATACACTTGCAGATTATACAAAAAGTGTATTTCAACACTGCTCAATAAAAGAAAGGTTCAACTCTGTGAGACGAATGCACACATCACAAAGAAGTTTCTCAGAATGCTTCTACCTAGTTTTTATGTGAAGATATTTCGTTTTCAGCTACAGGCCTCAAAGCACACCAAATATCAATTTTCAGATACTAGAAAAAGAGTGTTAACAAACTGCTTAATCAAAAGAAAGTTTCAACTTGGTGAGTTGAATGCACCCATCACAAAGAAGTTTCTGAGAATGTATCTGTCGAGTTTTTATGTGAAGATATTTGCTATTCTAAGGTAGGCCTAAAGCCCTCCAAATATTCACTTGCAGATTCCACAAAAAAGAGTGTTTCAAAACTGCTCAATCAAAATAAATTTTCGATTCTGTGTGATGAATGCATACATCACAAGGAGGATTCTCAGAATGCTTCTCTTTGGTTTTTATGTGAAGATATTTCCTTTTCAGGTATAGGCCTCAAGGCACTCCAAATATCCACTTGCAGATACAACAAAAAGAGTTTTTCCAAACTGCTCAATCAAAACAAAGATTCAACCCTGTGGGTTGAATGCACACATCACAAAGGGGTTTCTGAGAATACTTCTCTCTAGTTTTTATCTGAAGATATTTCCTTTGCCAATAGAGAATGCAGTCGTTCCAAATATCCATGTGCAGATTCTACAAAAAGTGTGTTTCAAAACTGCTCAATAAAAAGAAAGGTTCAACTCTGTGAGATGAATGCACACATCACAAAGAAGTTACTCAGAATGCTTCTTTTTAGTTTTTGTGTGAGGATATTTCCTTTTCAGCTATAGGCCTCAAAGCGATCCTAATATCCATTTGCAGATAGTACAAAAACAGTGTTTCCAAACTGCTCAATCAAAAGAAAGGCTCAACTCTGAGAGTTGAATGCACACATCACAAAGAACTTTCTGAGAATGCTTTTGTCTAGTTTTTATGTGAAGATATTTCCTCTTCCACCAGAGGCCGCAATCTCTCCAAATATCCAATTACAGATTCTACAAAAAGAGTGTTTCAAAACTGCTCAATCAAAATAAATTTTTAACTCTGTGAGTTGAATACACACATCACAAAAAACTTTCTCAGGATCCTTCTGTCTAGTTTTTATGTGAAGATATTCCCTTTTCAGCTATAGGCTTCAAAGCACTCCAAATATCCATTTTCAGATTCCACAAAAAGTTTGTTTCCAAACTGCTCAATCAAAAGAAACGTTCAACTCTGTGAGTCGAATGCACACATCACAAACAAGTATCTGAGAATGCTTCTGTCTAGTATTTATGTGAAGATATTTCCTTTTCCACCATAGGCCTCAAAGCGCTCCAAATATCCAATTGCAGATTCTACAAAAACAGTGTTTCAAAGCTGCTCAAACAAAAGAAAGGTTCAACTCTGTGAGAGGAATGCACACATCACAAAGAAGTTTCTCAGAATGCCTCTGTCTACATTTATGTGAATATATTTCCTTTTCAACTATAGGCCTCAAAGCGCTCCAAATATCCATTTTCAGATACCACAAAAAGAGAGTTTCCAAACTGCTCAATGCAAAAGAGACGATCAATTCTGTGAGGTGAATGCACACATCACAAAAAGTTTCTGAGAATTCTTCCATCTAGGTTTTATGTGAAGATACTCCCTTTCCACCATAGACACAAAGCGCTCCAAATAGCCACATGCAGATTCTACAAAAAGAGTGTTTCAAAACTGCTCAATCAAAAAAAAGTTGAACTTTGTGAAATGAATGCACACATCACAAAGAGGTTTCTCAGAATGCTTCTGTCTAGTTTTTATGTGAAGATATTTCCTTTTCAAGAATAGGCTGGAAAGCAATCCAAATATACATTTGCAGATACTACAAAAACAGTGTTTCCAAACTTCTCAATCAAAATGAAGGTTCAACTCTGTGAGTTAAATGCACACATTGCAAAGAAGTTTCTGAGTATGCTTCTGTCTAGTTTTTATGTGAAGATATTTCCTTTCTAACCATAGGCCTCAAAGCGCTCCAAATATCCACTTGCAGACTGTACAAAAAGAGCGTGTCAAAACTGCTCAACAGAAGAAAGGTTCAACTCTGTGAGATGAAAGCACTCTTCACAAAGAAGTTTCTCAGTATCCTTCCGTCTGGTTTTAGGTGGAGATATTTCCTTTTCCACCATAGTCCTCAAAGCACTCCAAATATCCACTTGCGGATACTACAGAAAGAGTGTTTCAAAAGTGTTTAATCAAAAGAAAAGTTCAACACTCTGAGATGAATGCACACAGCACAAAGAAGTTTCTGAGAATGCTTTTGTCTAGTTTTTATGTAAAGATAATTCCTTTTCCACCGTAGGCCTCAAAGCGCTCGAAACATCCATCTGTAGATTCTACAAAAAGAGTGCTTCAAAACTGCTCAATCAAAAGAAGTTTCAAACCTGTGAGGGGAATGCACACATCACAAAGAATTTTCTCAGAATGCTGCTGTCTAGTTTTTATGTGAAGATATTTCTTTCTCAACTACAGGACTCAAAGTGCTCCAAATATCCATTTGCAGATACTGCAAAAAGAGTGTTCCCAAACTGCTCAATCAAAAGAAATGTTCAACTTTCTGAGTTGAATCAACACATCACAAAGAAGTTTCTGAGAATGCTTCTGTCTTTTTTTTATTTGAAGATATTTCCTTTTCCACCATAGGACTCAAAGCGCTACAAATATCCACTTGCAGATTCTACAAGAGTGTTTCAAAACTCCTCAATCAAAAGAAAGTTTCCACTTTGTGAGTTAAATGAACACATCACAAGGAAGTTTCTGAGAATGCTTCTGTCTAGTTTTTATGTGAAGATATTTCTTTTACAACCATAGGCCACAAAGGGCTCCAAATATCCAATTGCAGATTCTCCAAAAATAGTGCTTCAAAACTGCTCAATCAAAAGAAAGGTTCAAGATTGTGAGATGAATGAATGCATCATGAAGAAGTTTTTCAGAATGCTTCTGTCAAGTTTTTATGTGAAGATATTTCCTTTTCAGCTACATGCCTCAAAGCGCTCCAAATATCCATTTCCAGATACTACAAAAAGAGTGTTTCCAAACTGCTCAAAATAAACAAAGGTTCAACTCTGTGAGTTGAATGCACACATCACAAAGAACTTTCTGAGAATGTTTCTGTCTAGTTTTTATGTGAAGACATGTCCTATGCCAATAGAGGACGCAATCGCTCCAAATATCCACTTGCAGATATACTACAAAAACAGTGTTTCAAAACTGCTCAATCAAAAGAAAGGTTCAATTCTGTGAGATGAATGCACACATCACAAGGAAGTGTCTCAGAATGCTTCTGCCTAGTTTTTATGTGGAGATATTTCCTTTTGTACTGTAGGTCTCAAAGCGCTCCAAATATACACTTGCAGATTCTACAAAAAGAGTGTTTCAAAACTGCTCAACCAAAAGAAATATTCAACTCTGTGGGATGAATGCACACATCACAAAGAAGTTTCTCAGAATGCTTCTGTCTAGTTTTTAAGTGAAGATATTTCCTTTTCAACTATAGGCCTCAAAGCGCTCCAAATATCCTTTTGCAGACACTTCAAAAAGAGAGTTTCCAAACTTCTCAATCAAAATAAAGGTTCAACTCTGTGACTTGAATGCACACATCACAAAGTAGTTCCTCAGAATGCTTCTTTTTAGTTTTTATGTGAGGTTGTTTCCTTTTCCACCATAGGCCTCAAAGCGTTACAAATATCCCCTTGCAGATTCTGCAAAAAGAGTGTTTCAAAACTGCTGAATCAGAAGAAAGTTTCAACTCCATGCGTTGAATGCACTCATCAGAAAGAAATTTCTGAGAATGCTCCTGTCGAGTTTTTTTGTGAAGATATTTCCTTTTCCACCATAGGCCTCAAAGCACTCCAAATCTCCAGTTGCAGATCCTACAAAAAGAGTGTTTCAAAACTGCTCAGTCAGAAGAAATGTTCAACTCTGTTAGGTGAATGCACACATCACAAAGAAGTTTCTCAGAAGGCTTCTGTCTAGTTTGTATGTGAAGATATTTCCTTTTCAACTCTAGGCCTCAACGCACTCCAAATATCCATTTGCAGATACTACAAAAAGAGTGTTTCCAAACTGCTCAATCAAAAGAAAGTTTCAAGTCTTTGAGTTGAATGCATACATCACAAAGAAGTTTTTGAGAATGTTTCTGTGCAGTTTTAATGTGAAGATATTTCCTTTTCCACCATAGGCCTCAAAGCGCTTGAAATATCCATTAGCATATTCTACAAAAAGAGTGTTTCTAAACTGCTCAATTAAAAGAAAGATTCAACTCTGTGAGATGAATATACACATTGCAAGGAAGTTTCTCAGAATGCTTCTGTCTAGTTTTTATGTGAAGATATTTCTCTTGCAACTATAGGCCCCTAAGCGCTCCAAATATCCATTTGCAGGTACAACAAAGAGACTGTTTCCGAACTGTTCAATCAAAAGAAAGGTTCAACTCTGTAAGTTGAAAGCTCACATCACAACGAAGTTTCTGAAAATGCTTCTGTCTAGCTTTTATGTGAAGATATTTCCTTTTCCACCATGGGCTTCAAAGGGCTCCAAATATCCACTTGCAGATTCAACAAAAAAGAGTGTTTCAAAACTCCTCAATCAAAAGAAAGGTTCAACACTGTGAGATGAATGCACAAAGAAGAAACAGTTTCTGAGAACTCTGTCTACATTTTATGTGGAGATATTTCCTTTTCAATTATATGCCTCACACTGCTCCAAATATCCTTTTACAGATACTACAAAAAGAGTGTTTCCAAATTGTTCAATCAAAAGAAAGTTCATCTCTGTGAGATGTACGCACACATCACAAAGAAGTTTCTCAGAATGATTCTGTCTAGCTTTTATATGAAGACATTTCCTTTTCAGCTATAGACCGCAAAGCGCTCCAAATATCAATTTTCAGACACTACAAAAAGAGTGCTCCAAACTGCTCAATCAAAAGAAAAGTTCAACTCTAGGAGTTGAATGCACACATCACGAAGAAGATTCTGAGGATATTTCTGAATAATCTGTATGTGAAGATATTTCATTTTCCACTAGAGGGAGCAATCGCAGAAAATATCCACTTGTACATTCTATAAAAAGTGTTTCAAAAATGCTAAATCAAAAGAAATGTTCAACTCTGTGAGATGAATGCACACATAACAAAGGAGTTTCTCAGAATGCTTCTGTCTAGTATTTATGTGAAGATTTTTCCATTTCAGCTACAGGCCTCAAAGCTCTCCAAATATCCATTTGCAGATACAACAAAAAGAGTGTTTCCAAACTGCTTAATCAAAAGAAAGGTTCAACTCTGTGAGTTCAACGCACACATCACAGAGAAGTTTCTGAGAATGTTTCTGTCTAATTTTTATGTGAAGATATTTCCTTTTCCACAAAAGGCCTCAAAGCGCTCCTAATATCCACTTGCAGATTATACAAAAAGAGTGTTTCCAAACTGCTCAATCAAAAGAAGGGTTCAATTCTTTGAGATGAATGCACACATCACAAAGAAGTTTCTCAGAATCCTTCTGTGTAGTTTTTATGTGGAGATATCTCCTTTTCACCTGTGCATCTCAATGTGCTCCAAATATACCTTTGCAGAAACTACAAAAAGAGTGTTTCAAAACTGCTCAATCAAAAGAAAGGTTCAACTCTGTGACTTGGATGCAAACATCACAAAGAAGTTTCTCAGAATACTTCTGTCTAGTTTTTAAGTGAAAATATTTCCTTTTAAACTACAGTCCTCAAAGTGCTCCAAATATCCATCTGCATATACTAGAAAAAGAGTGTTTCCAAACTGTTCAATGAAAAGAAAGGTTCAACTCTGTGAGTTGAATGCACACATCACAAAATGTTTCTTAGAATGTTTCTGTCTAGTTTTTATTTGAAGGTATTTCCTTTTCCACCATAGGACTCAAAGTGCTGCAAATATCCACTTGCAGATTCTACATAAAGAGTGTATCAAACTGCTCAATCAAAAGAAATGTTCAACTCCGTGAGATGAAGGCACACATCACAAAGAAGTTTCTCAGAATGCTTCTGTCTAGTATTTATATGAAGATATTACTTTTTTGGCTATAGGCCGCAAAGCGCTCCAAATTTCCATTTGCAGATACTACAAAAACAGCTTTTCCAAACTCCTCAATGAAAAGAAAGGTTCAACTCTGTGAGATGAATGCACACATCACAAAGAAGTTTCTGAGAATGCTGCTGTCTAGTTTTTATGTGAAAATATTTCCTTTTCAAACATGGGCCACAAAGTGCTCCAAATCTCCAGTTGCAGGTTCTACAAAAAGATTGTTTCATAACTGCTCAATCAGAAGAAATGTTCAACTCTGTGAGATGAATGCACATATCACAAAGAAGTTTCTCAGAAGTCTTCTGTCTAGTTTTTGTGTGAAGATATTTCCTTTTCATCTTTAGGCCTCAACACACTCCAAATATCCATTTGCAGATACTACAAGAAGAATGTTTCCAAGCTGCTCAATCAAAAGAAAGTTTCAAATCTTTGAATAGAATGCACATGTCACAAAGAAGTTTTTGAGAATGCTTCTGTGTAGTTTTCATATGAATATATTTCCTTTTCCATCATAGGCCTCAAAGCGCTCCAAATATACACTTGCAGATTCTACAAAAAGAGGGTTTCTAAACTGTTCAATCAAAAGAAAGGTTCAACTCTGTGAGATGAATGAACACATCACAAAGAAGTTTCTGAGAATGCTTCTGTCTAGTTTTTATGTGAAGATATTTCCTTTTCAACTATAGGCCTCAGAGCACTCCAAATATCCATTTGCAGATACTACAATGAGACTGTTACCGAAGAGTTCAATCAGAAGAAAGATTCAAATCTGTGACTTGAATGCTCACATCACAACGAAGTTTCTGAGAACGCTTCTGGCTAATTTTTATGTGAAGATATTTCCTTTTCCACCATTAACTTCAAAGAGCTCCAAGTATCCACTTGCAGGTTCTACAAAAAGAGTGTTTCAAAACTGATCAATCAAAAGAAAGGTTCAACTCTGTGAGATGAATGCACACACCAGAAAATGTTTCTGAGAATTCTTCTGTCTACATTTTATGTGAAGATATTTCCTTTTCAATTACTGGCATCAAAGCGATCCAAATATCCATTTACAGACACTACAAAAAGTTGTTTCCAAACTGCTCAATCCAAAGAAAGGTTCAAATCTGTGAGTTGAATGCACACATCACAAAGAAGTTTCTGAGAATGTTTCTGTCTGCTTTTTATGTGAAGATATTTCCTCTTCCACCTTAGGACTCAAAGTGCTCCAAACATCCAATTGCAGATTTTACAAAAAGAACGTTTCCAAACTGATCAATCTAAAGAAATTTTCAACTCTTTTCGATGGATGCACACATCAGAAAGAAGTTTCTCAGAATACTTCTGTCTAGTTTTTAGTTGAAGATATTTCCTTTTCAAGTACAGGCACGAAAGGCCTCCAAATATCCATTTGCAGATATTACAAAAAGACTGTTTCTGAACTGTTCAATCAAAAGAAAGGTTCAACTCTGTGAGTTCAATGCACACATCACAAAGAAGTTTCTGAGAACACTTCTGTCTAGTTTTTATATGAAGATATTTCCTTTTCCACCATAGGTCCCAAAGCGCTCCATATATCACTTGCAGATTCTGCAAAAAGAGGTTTTCCCAGCTGCTCAATCAAATGAAAGGGTCAACTCTGTGAGATGAATGCACACATCACAAAGAAGTTTCTGAGAATGCTTCTGTCTAGTTTTTATGTGAAGATATTTCCTTTTCAACTATTGGCCTCAATGCAATCAAATTTCCATCTGCAGATACTACAAAAAGGTGTTTCCAATCTGCTCAATCAATAGAAATGTTCAATTCTGTGAGTTGAATGCACACATGATAAAGAAGTTTCTGAGAATGCTTCTGTCTAGTTTTCATATGTAGATATTTCCTTCTCTGCCACAGGCCTCAAAGCGCTCCAAATATCCACTTGCAGATTCCACAAAAAGAGTGTTTCTAAACTGCCCAATTGGAAGAAAGGTTCAACTCTGTAAGATGAGTGCACACATAACAAAGAAGTTTCTGAGAATCCTTCTGTCTAGTTTTTATGTGAAGATATTTCCTTTTCCACCATAGGCCTCAAAGTGCTCCAAATATCCACTCGCAGACTCTACAAAAAGTGTGTTTCAAAACTGCTCAATCAAAAGAAAGTTTCAACTCTGTGAGGTGAACGCATACATCACAAAGCTGTTTCACAGAATGCTTCCATTTAGTTTTTATATGAAGATATTTCCTTTTCCGCCATAGGACTCAAAGCGCTCCAAATCTCCATTTGCAGAGTCTACAAGAAGAGTGTTTCAAAACTACTCAATCTGGGAGAAGAATACCCACATCACAAATAAGTTTCTCAGAAGGCTTCTGTCTTGTTTTTACATGAAGATATTTCCTTTTCAACTGTCGGCCTCAAGGCACTCCAAATACCCATTTGCAGGTACTACAAAAAGAGTGTTTCAAAAGTGCCCAATTGAAAGAAAGGTTCAACTCTTTGAGTTGAATGCACACATCACAAAGAAGTTCTTGAGAATGCTTCTGTGTAGTTTTTAGTTGAAGATATTTCCTTTTCCACCTTAAGCCTCAAAGCGCTCCAAATATCCACTAGCACATTCTACAAAAAGAGTGTTTCTAAACTGCTCAATCAAAAGAAATGTTCAACTCTGTGAGATGAATGCACACATTACAAAGAATTTTCTCAGAATGCTTCTGTCTAGTTTTTATGTGAAGATATTTCCTTTTCAACTATAGGCCAAAAAGCGCTCCAAATATCCATTTGCAGATACTACAATGAGACTGTTTCCAAACTGTTCAATCAAAAGAAACGTTCAACTCTGTGAGTTGAATGCTCACAACACAACGAAGTTTCTGAGAATGCTTCTGTAGAGTTTGTAGTTGAAGATATTTCCTTTTCAAGTATAGGCCACAAAGGGCTCCAAATATCCATTTGCAGATATTACAAAAAGACTGTTTCTGAACTGTTCAATCAAAAGAAAGTTTCAACTCTTTGAGTTCAATGCACACATCACAAAGAAGTTTCTCAGAATGCTTCTGCCTAGTTTTTCTGTGAAGATATTTCATTTTCCACCATAGGACTCAAAGCCCTCCAAATATCCACTTGCAGATACTACAAAAAGAGTTTTTCCAAACTGCTTAATCAAATGAAAGGTTGAACTCTGTGAGATGAATGCACACATCACAAACAAGTTTCTCGGAATACTTCTGTCTAATTTTTATGTGAATGTATTTTCTTTTCAACTATTGACCTCAAAGCGCTCAAAATATCCATTTGCAGATACTACCAAAAGGTGTTTCCAAACTGCTCAATGAAAAGAAATGTTCAATTCTGTGAGTTGAATGGACACATCACAAAGAAGTTTCTGAGAATGCTTCTGTCTAGTTTTTATGTGAAGATATTTCCTTCTCCACGACAGGCCTCAAAGCACTCCAAGCATCCACTTGCAGATTCTACAAAAAGAGTGTTTCAAAACTGCTCAATGAAAAGAAAGGTTGAGCTCTGTAAGATGAATGCACACATCACAAAGAAGTTGCTGAGAATGATTCTGTGAGATTTTTATGTGAAGATATTTCCTTCTCCACCATAGGCCTCAAAGCCCTCCAAATATCCACTAGCATATTCTACAAAAAGAGTCTTTCTATAGTGCTCAATTAAAAGACTGGTTCAACTCTGGGAGATGAATGCACACATCACAAAGAAGTTTCTGAGAATGCTTCTGTCAAGTTTTTATGTTAAGATATTTCCTTTTGCACCATAGGCCTCAAAGCGCTCCAAATATCCACTTGCAGATTATTCAAAAAGAGTGTTTTCAAACTGCACAATTGAAAGAAAGGTTCAACTCTGTGAGATGAATGCACACATCAGAAAGAAGTTTCTCAGAATGCTTCCGTCTAGTTTATAGGTGAAGATATTTCCTTTTCAACTATGGGCCACAAATGGCACCAAATATCCACTTGCAGATACTACAAAAACACCGTTGTGTAACTGTTCAATCAAAAGAAACGTTCAACTGCCTGATTTCAAAGCATGCATCACAGAGAAGTTTCTGAGAATGCTTCTGTCTAGTTTTAATGTGAAGATATTTCCTTTTGCACCATAGGCCTCAAGCCTTTCAAATATCCACTTGCAGATTCTGCAAAAAGGGTTTTTCCAAACTGCTCAATCAAAAGAAAGGTTCAACTCTGTGAGATGAATGCACACATCAGAAAGAAGTTTCACAGAATGCTTCTGTCTAGTTTATAGGTGAAGATATTTCCTTTTCAACTATGGGCCACAAATGGCACGAAATATCCACTTGAAGATACTATAAAAACACCGTTTTGTAACTGTTCAATCAAAAGAAAGGTTCAACTCTCTGATTTCAATGCATGCATCACAAAGTTTCTGAGAATGCTTCTGTCTAGTTTTAATGTGAAGATATTTCCTTTTGCACCATAGTCCTCAAAGCCTTTCAAATATCCACTTTCATATTCTACAAAAATAGTTTTTCCAAACTGCTCAATCAAAAGAAAGGTTCAATTCTGTGAGATGAATGTACACATCACAAAGAAGTTTCTCAGAATGCTTCTGTCTACACTATATGTGAAGATATTTTCTTTTCATCTATTGGCCTTAAACCGCTCAAAATATCGATTTGCAGATACTACAAAAAGGGGTTTTCCAAACTTCTCAATCAAAAGAAATGTTCAATTCTGTAAGTTGAATGCACACAACACGAAGAAGTTTCTGAGAATGCTTCTGTGTAGTTTTTATGCGAAGATATTTCCTTCTCCACCATGGTCCTCAAAGCACTGTAAGTATCCACTTGCAGATTCTACAAAAATAGTGTTGCAAAACTGCTCCATCAAAAGAAAGTTTCAACTATGTGAGATGAATGCATGCATCACAAAGAAGTTTCTCAGAATGCTTCTGTATAGTTTTCATGCCAAGATATTTCCTTTTCCACCATAGGCCTCAAAGCACTCCAAATATCCACTTGGAGATTCTACAAAAAGAGTGTTTCCGAACTGTTCAATCAAAAGACAGGTTCAACTCTGTGAGTTCAATGCACACATCACAAAACAGTTTTTGAGCATGCTTCTGTCTCGTATTAATGTGAAGAGTTTCCTATTCCACCATAAGCCTCAAAGTGCTCCAAATATCCACTTGCAGATCCTACAAAAAGAGTGTTTCAAAACTGCTCAATCAAAACAAAGGTTCAACTCTGTGTGATGAATGCACACATCACAAAGGAGTTTCTGAGAAGGCTTCTGTCTGGTTTTAATGTGAAGATATTTCCTATTCCACCATAGGCCTCACAGCGCTCCAAGTATCCACTTGCAGATTAGACAAAAATAGTGTTTCAAAACTGCTTAATCAAAAGAAAGGTTCAACCATGTGAGATGATTGCACACGTCACAAAGAAGTTTCTCAGATTGCTTCTGTCTAGTTTTTATGTGACAATATTTCCTTTTCAAGTATAGGCCTCAAAAGGCTCCAAATGTCCATTTGCAGACACTAGAAAAAGAGAGTTTCCAAACTGCTCAATCAAAAGGAAGGTTCAACTCTGTGAGTTGAATGCACACATCACAAGGAAGCATCTGAGAATGCTTCTGTCCCGTTTTTATGTGAAGATATTTCCTTTTCCAACAGAGTCCTCAAAGTACTCCAAATTTCCACTTGCAGATTCCACTAAAAGACTGTTTCCAAACTGCTCAATCCAAAGAAATGTTCAACACTGTGAGCTGAATGCACACATCACAAAGAAGTTTCTGAGAATGCTTCTGTCTTGTTTTTATGTGAAAATATTTCCTTTTCCACCATAGTCCTCAAAGCACTCCAAATATCCACTTGCAGATTCTACAAAAAGGGTTTCCAAATTGCTCAATCAAAAGAAATGATCAACTCTGTGAGATGAATGCATATGACACAAAGAAGTTTCTCAGAATGCTTCTGTCTAGTTTTTAGGTGAAGATATTTCCTTTTCAACTATAGGCCAAAAAGCGCTCCAAATATCCATTTGCAGATACTACAGAAAGACTGTTTCCGAGCTTTTCAATCATAAGAAAGGTTCAACTCTCTGAATTCAATGCACATATCACAAAGAAGTTTCTGAGAATTGTCCTGTCTGGTTTTTGTTTGAAGATATTTCCTTTTCCTCCACAGGACTCAAATCGCTCCAAATATACACTTGCAGATTCTACAAAAAAAGTGTTTCCGAACTGCTCAATCAAAAGAATGTTTCAACTATATGTGATGAATGCACACATCACAAAGAAGTTTCTCAGAATGCTTCTCTCAACTTTTTATATGCAGACATTTCCTTTTCAAATAAGCCTCAAGGTGCTCCAAATATCCATTGGCAGATACTACAAAAAGACTGTCTCCATCTATTCCATCAAAGGAAAGGGTCAAATCTGTGGGTTCAGTGCACACTTCACAATGAAGTTTATGAGAATGCTTCTGTCTAGTTTTTGTGTGAAGATATTTCCTTTTCCACCACAGGCCAGAAAGCCTTCCAATTATCCACGTTCAGATCCTACTAAAAGAGTGTTTCAAAACCGCTCATTCAAAGAAAGTTTCAAATCTGTGAGATGAATACACACATCACAAAGACGTTTCTCAGAATGCTTCTGTGTAGTTTTTATGTGAAGATATTTCCTTTTCTGCAATAGGCCTCAAAGCGCTCCAAATATCGACTTGAAGATTATACAAAATGAGAGTTTCAAAACTGCTCCATCAAAAGATATGTTCAAATTTGTGAGTTGAATGCACACATCACAAAGGAGTATCTCAAAATTCTTATGTGTAGTTTTTATGTGAAGATATTTCCTTCTCCACTATTGGCTTCAAAGGGTTCCAAATATCTTCTTGCAGATTATACAAAAAGAGAGTTTTAAAACTCCTCTATCAACAGATAGGTTCAACTCTTGAGAGTTGATTGCGCAAATCACAAAGAAGTTTCTCAGAATACTTCTATGTAGTTTTTATGTGAAGATATTTCCTTTTCCACCATATGCCTCAAAGCGCTCCAAATATCCAGTTGCAGGCTCTACAACAAGAGTGTTTCCAAACTGCTCAATCAAAAGAAAGGTTCAACTCTGTGAGATGAATGCACACATCACAAAGTAGTTTCTCAGAATGCTTCCGTGTAGTTTTTATGTGAAGATATTTCATTTTCCGCAATAGGCCTCAAAGCCCTCCAATTATCCACTTGCAGATTCTACAAAAAGAGTGTTTCAAAGCTGCTCAATCAAAGATATGGTTCAACACTGTGAGATGAATGCATACATCACAATTAAGTTTCTCAGAATTCTTCTGTGTACTTTTTACATGAAGATATTTCCTTTTCCACAATAGGCCTCAAAGGGCTCCAAATATCCTCTTGCAGATTCTACTAAAAGAGTTTACAAACTGCTCAATCAAAAGAAAAGTTCAACTCTGTGTGATGAATGCACACATCACAAAGTAGTTTCTCAGAATGCATCTGTGTAGTTTATATGGGAAGATATTTCCCCTCCTCCGCTGGCCACAAAGGGCTTCAAATATCCACTTGCAGAAGCTATGAAAAGAGTGTTTCATAACTGCTCAATTGAAAGAAAGGTTCAATTCTTTTAGACGAATGCACATATCACCAAGAAGTTTCTCAGAATGCTTCTGTCTAGTTTTTATATGAAGATATTTCCTTTTCCACAGTAGGCCTCAAAGCGCTCCAAATATCCACTTGGAGATTCTACAAAAAGAATGTTTCCCAACTGCTCAATCAAAAGAAAGGTTCAGAGAGGGCAGCCAAGATGGCTGAATTGGAACAGCTCTGGTCTACCGCTCCAAGCATGAGTGACACTGAAGATGGGTGATTTCTGCATTTCCATCTGAGGTAAGTGGTTCATCTCTTTTGGAAGTTCCAGACTGTGAGTGCAAGACAGCCGGTCCAGCTCACCATGTGTGAGCCAAAGCAGGGAGAGGAATTACCTCACTTGGGAAGTGCAAGGGTTCAGGGAGTTCCCTTACCTAGTCAAAGAAAGTGGTGACAGAAGGCACCTGGGAATTCAGGTCACTCCCACAACAATACTGTGCTTTTTCGACAGGCTTAGAAATCGGTGCACCAGGAGATTATATCCAACACCTGGCTTGGGAGTCCTACACCCATGGAGTCTCACTGATTGCTAGCACAGCAGTCTGAGATTGAACAGCAAGGCGGCAGTGAGGCTGGGAGTGGGTCGTCCGCCATTGCCCAGGATTGCTTAGGTAAACAAAGCAGCTGGGAAGATGGAACTGGGTGGAGCCCACCACAGTTCAAGGAGGCCTGCCTGCCTCTTCAGGCTCCACCTCTAGGGGCAGGGCACAGACAAACAAAAAGACAGCAGTAACCTCGGAAGACTTAAATGTCCCTGTCTGACAGCTTTGAATAGAGCAGTGGTTCTCCCAGCATGCAGATGAATATCTGAGAATGGGCAGACTGCCTCCTCAAGTGGGTCCCTGACCCCTGGTCTCCGAACAGCCTAACTGGGAGGCACCCCTCAGTAGGGGCAGACTGACACATCACACAGCTGGGTACTCCTCTGAGACAAAACTTCCAGAGGAATGATCAGACAGCAGCATTCACGATTCACCAAAATTCACGGTTCTGCAGCCACCGCAGCTGGTACCCAGGCAAACAGGGTCTGGAATGGACCTCTATCAAACTCCAACGGACCTGCAGCTGAGGGTCCTGTCTGTTAGAAGGAAAACTAACAAACAGAAAGGACATCCACACGAAAAACCCACCTGTACATCACCATCATCAAAGACCAAAAGTAGATAAAATGACAAAGCTGGGGAAGAAACAGAGGAGAAAAACTGGAAACTCTAAAAAGCAGAACACCTCTCCTCCTGCAAAGGAAGGCAGCTCCTCACCAGCAATGCAACAAAGCTGGGCGGAGAATGACTTTGATGAGTTGAGAGAAGAAGCCTTCAGATGATCAAACTACTCCAAGCTAAAGGAGGAAATTCAAACCAAAGGCAAAGAAGTTGAAAACTTTGAAAAAAATTTAGACGAATGTATAATTAGAATAAACAATAAGAGAAGTGCTTAAAGGAGCTGATGGAGCTGAAAGTCAAGGCTCGAGAACTATCTGAAGAATGCAGAAGCCCCAGGAGCCGATGCAATCACCTGGAAGAAAGGGTATCAGTGATGGAAGATGAAATGAATGAAATGAAGTGAGAAGGGAAGTTTAGAGAAAAAAGAATAAAAAGAAATGAAAAAAGCCTCCAAGAAATATGGGACTATGTGAAAAGACCAAATCTACGTCTCACTGGTGTACATGAAAGTGACGGGGAGAATGGAACCAAGTTGGAAAGCACTCTGCAGGATATTATCCAGGAGAACTTCCCCAATCTAGCAAGGCAGGCCAACATTCAGATTCAGGAAATACAGAGAACGCCACAAAGATACTCCTCGAGAAGAGCAACTCCAATATACATCATTGTCAGATTCTCCAAAGTTGAAATAAAGAAAAAAATGTTAAGGGCAGCCAGAGAGAAAAGTCGGGTTACCCACAAAGGGATGCCCATCAGACTAACAGCGGATCTCTCTGCAGAAACTCTACAAGCCAGAAGAGAGTGGGGGCGAATATTCAACATTTTTAAAGAAAAGAATTTTCAATCCAGAATTTCAGACCCAGCCAAACTCAGCTTCACAAGTGAAGGAGAAATAAAATACTTTACAGAAAAGCAAATGCTGAGAGATTTTGTCACCACCAGGCCTGCCCTAAAAGAGCTCCTGAAGGAAGCACTAAACATGGAAAGGAACAACAGGTACCAGCCACTGCAAAATCATGCCGAATTGTAAAGACCATCGAGGCTAGGAAGAAAATGCATCAACTAAAGAGCAAAATAGCCAGCTACCATCATAATGAAAGGATCAAATTCACACATAACAATATTAACTTTAAATGTAAATGGACTAAATGCTCCAATTAAAAGACACAGACTGGCAAAATTGACAAAGGGTCAAGACCCATCAGTGTGCTGTATTCAGGAAACCCATCTCACGTGCAGAGACACATATAGGCTCAAAATAAAAGGATGGAAGAAGATCTACCAAGCAAATGGAAAACAAAAAAAAAGTCAGGAGTTGCAATCCTAGTCTCTAATAAATCATACTTTAAACCAACAAAGATCAAAAGAGACAAAGCATGCCATTACATAATGGTAAAGCGATCAATTCAAGAAGAAGAGCTAACTATCCTAAATATATATGCACCCAATACAGGAGCACCCAGATTCACAAAGCAAGTCCTGAGTGACCTACAAAGAGACTTAGACTCCCACACAATAATAATGGGAGACTTTAACACCCCACTGTCAATATTAGACAGATCAGTGAGACAGAAAGTTAACAAGGATACCCAGGAATTAAACTCAGCTCTGCACCAAGCAGACCTAATAGATATCTACAGAACTCTCCACCCCAAATCAACAGAATATACATTTTTTTCAGCACCACACCACACATATTCCAAAATTGACCACATAGTTGGAACTAAAGCTCTTCTCAGCAACTGTAAAGAATCAGAAATTATAACAAACTGTCTCTCACACCACAGTGCAAGCAAACTAAGAATCAGGGTTAAGAAACTCACTCAAAACCTGCTCAACTACATGGAAACTGAAAACCTGCTCCTGAATGACTACTGGGTACATAACGAAATGAAGACAAATATAAAGATGTCCTTTAAAACCAACCAGAACAAAGACACAACATACCAGAATCTCTGGGACACATTCAAAGCAGTGTGTAGAGGGAAATTTAGAGCACTAAATGCCCACAAGAGAAAGCAGGAAAGATCCAAAATTGACACCCTAACATCACAACTAAAAGAGCTAGAGAAGCCAGAGCAAACACTTTCAAAAGCTAGAAGAAGGAAAGAAATAACTAAAATCAGAGCAGAACTGAAGGAAATAGAGACACAAAAAACCCTTCAAAAAATTAGTGAATCCAGGGGCTGGTTTTTTGAAAAGATCAACAAAATTGATAGACTGCTAGCAAGACTAATAAAGAAGAAAAGAGAGAAGACTCAAATGGAAGCAATAAAAAATGACAAAGGGGATATCACCACCAAGCCCTCAGAAATACAAAGTACAAACAGAGAAAACTACAGACACCTTTACGCAAATAAACCAGAAAATCTAGAAGAAATGGATAAATTCCTCAACACATAAACCCTCCCAAGACTAAACCATGAAGAAGTTGACTCTCTGAATAGACCAATAACAGGCTCTGAAATTGTGGCAATAATCAATAGCTTACCAAAAAAAAGAGCCCAGGACCAGATGGATTCACAGCCGAATTCTACCAGATGTACAAGGAGGAACTGGCACCATTACTTCTGAAACTATTCCAATCAATAGAAAAAGAGGGAATCCTGCCTCACTCATTTTATAAGGCCAGCATCATCCTGATACCAAAGCCGGGCAGAGACACAACCAAAAAAGAGAATTTTAGACCAATATCCCTGATGAACATTGATGCAAAAATCCTCAATAAAATACTGGCAAACTGAATCCAGCAGCACATCAAAAAGCTTATCCACCATGATCAAATGGGCTTCATCCCTGGGATGCAAGGCTGGTTCAATATATGCAAATCAATAAATGTAATCCAGCATATAAACAGAACCAAAGACAAAAACAACATGATTATCTCAATAGATGCAGAAAAAGCCTTTGACAAAATTCAACAACCCTTCATGCTAAAATCTCTCAATAAATTAGGTATTGTTGGGATGTATCTCAAAATATTAAGAGCTATCTATGACAAACCCACAACCAATATCATACTGAATGGGCAAAAACTGGAAGCATTCCCTTTGAAAATTGGCACAAGACAGGGATGCCCTCTCTCACCACTCTTATTCAACATAGTGTTGGAAGTTCCTGTCAGGGCAATTAGGCAGGAGAAGGAAATAAAGGGTATTCAATTAGGAAAAGAGGAAGTCAAGTTGTCTCAGTTTG
Source organism: Homo sapiens (assembly GCF_000001405.40). Taxonomy (NCBI): domain Eukaryota; kingdom Metazoa; phylum Chordata; class Mammalia; order Primates; family Hominidae; genus Homo; species Homo sapiens. Next base: position 37,685,825 of record NC_000012.12, read on the forward strand.
CAGATGACATGATTTTATATCTAGAAAACCCCATTGTCTCAGCCCAAAATCTCCTTAAGCTGACAAGCAACTTCAGCAAAGTCTCAGGATAAAAAAATCAATGTATAAAAATCACAGGCATTCTTATACACCAATAACAGACAAACAGAGAGCCAAATCATGAGTGAACTCTCATTCACAATCGCTTCAAAGAGAATAAAATACCTAGGACTCCAACTTACAAGGGACGTGAATAACCTCTTCAAGGAGAACTACAAACCACTGCTCAAGGAAATAAAAGAGGATACAAACAAATGGAAGAACATTACATGCTCATGGGTAGGAAGTATCAATATCGTGAAAATGGCCATACTGCCCAAGGTAATTTATAGTTTCAATGCCATCCCCATCAAGCTACCAATGACTTTCTTCACAGAATTGGAAAAAACTACTTTAAAGTTCATATGGAACTAAAAAAGAGCCCACATTGCCAAGCCAATTCTAAGCCAAAAGAACAAAACTGGAGGCATCACACCACCTGACTTCAAACTATGCTACAACGCTACAGTAACCAAAACAGCATGGTACAGGTACCAAAACAGAGATATAAATCCATGGAACAGAACAGAGCCTTCAGAAATAATGCCACATATCTACAAATATCTGATCTTTGACAATCCTGAGAAAAACAAGCAATGGGGAAATGATTCCCTATTTAATAAATGGTGCTGGGAAAACTGGCTAGCCATATGTAGAAAGATGAAACTGGATCCTTTTCTTACACCTTATATAAAAATTAATTCAAGATGGATTAAAGACTTAAATGTTAGACCTAAAACCATAGAAACCCTAGAAGAAAACGTAGGCATTACCATTCAGGACATAGACATGGCCAAAGACTTCATGTCTAAAACACCAAAAGCAATGGCAACAAAAGCCAGAACTGACAAATGGGATCTAATTAAACTAAAGAGCTCCTGCACAGCAAAAGAAACTACCATCAGAGTGAACAGGCAACCTACAAAATGGGAGAAAATTTTCACAACGTACTCATCTGACAAAGGGCTAATATCCAGAATCTACAATGAACTCCAACAAATTTACAAGAAAAAAGAAACAATCCCATCAAAAACTGGGCAAAGGATATGAACAGACACTTCTCAAAAGAAGACACTTATGCAGCCAAAAGACACATGAAAAATTGCTCATCATCACTGGCCATCAGAGAAATGCAAATCAAAACCACAATGAGATACCATCTCACACCAGTTAGAATGGCAATCATTAAAAAGTCAGGAAACAACAGGTGCTGGAGAGGATGTGGAGAAATAGGAACACTTTTACACTGTTGGTGGGACTGTAAACTAGTTCAACCCTTATGGAAGTCAGTGTGGTGATTCCTCAGGGATCTAGAACTAGAAATACCATTTGACCCACCAATCCCATTACAGGGTATATACCCGAAGGACTATAAATCATGCTGCTATAAAGACACATGCACACGTATGTTTATTGCGGCTCTATTCAAAATAGCAAAGACTTGGACCCAACCCAAATGTCCAATAATGATAGACTGGATTAAGAAAATGTGGCACATATACACCATGGAATACTATGCAGCCATAAAAAATGATGGGTTCATGTCCTTTGTAGGGACATGGATGAAATTAGAAATCACCATTCTCAGCAAACTATCGCAAGGACAAAAAACCAAACACCGCATGTTCTCACTCACAGATGGGAATTGAACAATGAGAACACATGGACACAGGAAGGGGAAAATCACACTCTGGGGACCCTTGTGGGGTGGGGTGAGTGGGGTGGGATAGCATTAGGAGATATACCTAATGCTAAATGAAGATTTAATGGGTGCAGCACACCAGCATGGCACATGTATACATATGTAACTAAACTGCACATTGTGCACATGTACCCTAAAACTTAAATAATAATAAAAGAAAGAAATGTTCCACACTGTGAGATGAAAGCATACATCACAAAGAAGTTTCTGAAAATGCTTCCGTGTAGGTTTTATCTGAAGATATTTCCTTTTCCACCATAGGCAGCAAAGGGCTCCAAATATCCACTTGCAGATTCTACAAAAAGAGTGTTTCGAAACTGCTCTATCAAATGAAATGTTCAACTTTGTGAGATGAATGCACACATCACAAAGTAGTTTCTCAGAATGTTTCTCTGTACTTTTTATGTGAAGATATATCCTTTTCCACCATAGGACTCAAAGCCCTCCTAATATCCACTTGCAGATTCTCCAAAAAGAGTGTTTCAAAACTGCTCAATTAAAAGAAAGGTTCAGCTCTGTGAGATGAATGCACACAAAACAGAGACTTTTCTGAGAATACTTCTGTGTAGTTTTTATGTGAAGATATTTTCTATTCCACCATAGTCCTCAAAGCACTCCAAACATCCACTAGCACATTCTACAAAAAGAGTGTTTCAAAACTGCTCAATCAAAAGAAAGGCTCAACTATGTGAGTTGAATGCACACATCACAAAGAAGTTTCTGAGAATGCTTCGGTCTAATTTTTATGTGAAGATATTACCTTTTCCACAAGAGGCCTCAAAGTGCTCTAAATGTCCACTTGCAGATTCTACAAAAAGAGTGTCTAAAAACTGCTCAATCAAAAGAGAGTTTCAACTCTATGAGATGAATGAACAAATCACAAAGAAGTTTCTCAGAATGCTTCTGTGTAATTTTTATGTGAAGATATTTCCTTTTCCACCATAGGCCGCATAAGGCTCCAAATATCCACCTGCAGATTTCTACAAAATAGAGTATCAAAACTGCTCTATCAAAAGTTAGGTTCAACTCTGTGAGATGAATGCAGACATCACAAAGTAGTTTCTCAGAATGCTTCTGTGTAGTATTTATGTGAAGATATTTCCTTTTCCACAATAGGCCACAAAGTGCTCCAAATATCTACTTCCAGATTCTACAAAAAGAATATTTCAAAACTGCTCAATCAAAAGAAAATTTAAACTCTGTGAGATGAATGCACACATCACCAAGTAGTTTGTGAGAAATATTCTGTGTAGTTTTTATGTGAAGATATTTCCGTTTCCACGCTAGGCCTCCAAGGACTCTAAATATCCACTTGCAGATTCTACTAAAAGTGTGTTTCTAAATTGCTCAATGAAAAGAAAAGTTGAACTCTGTGATGTCAATTCACACATCACAAAGAAGTTTCTGAGAATGATTCTGTGTAGTTTTTATGTGAAGATATTCCCTTTTCCACAATAGACCTCAAAGCACTCCAAAGATCCACTTGCAGATTCTACAAAAAGAGTGTTTTGAAACTCCACATTCAAATGAAGTATTCAAATCTGTGACTTTAATGCACACATCACAAAGAAGTTTCTCAGAATGCTTCTGTGCAGTTTTTATATGAAGATATTTCTTTTTCCACAATAGGCCTCAAAGCACTCCAGATATCCACTTGCAGATTCGATGAAAAGAGTGTTTCAAAACTGCTCAATCAAATGAAAATTTCATCTCTGTGAGATGAAAGCACACATCACAAAGAAGTTTCTGATAATGCTTCTGTGTAGTTTTTATGTGAAGATATTTCCTTTTCCACAAATTACTCAAAGGGCTCCTAACATCCCCTTGCAGATTTTACAAAAAGAGTGTTTCAAAACTGCTCAATCAAAAGAAAGGTTCAACTCTGTGAGATGAATGGACACAAAACAAAGAAGTTTTTGAGAATGCTTCTGTGTGGTTTTTATGTGAAGATATTTGCTTTTCCAAAATAGGCATCAAAGCGCTCCAAATATCGACTTGCAGATTCTACCAAAAGACTGTTTCAAAACTGCTCAATCAAATGAAAGTTTCAAATCTGTGAGATGAATGCAGCCATCACAAAGAAGTTTCTCATAATGCTCCTATGCAGTTTTTATGGGAAGATATTTTATTTTCCACCATCGGCCACAAAGGGCTCCCAATATCCACTTACAGATTCTACAAAAAGAAAATTTCAAAACTGCTCTATCAAAAGATAGGTTTAACTCTGCGAGTTGAATGCACGCATCACACAGAAGTTTCTGAGAATGCTTCTGTGTAGTTTTTATGTGAAGATATTTCCTTTTCCATTGTAGGCCTCAAAGCGCTCCAAATATCCACTTGCAGATTCTCCAAAGAGAGTGTTTCAAAACTGGTCAATCAAAAGAAAAGTTCACCTCAGTGAGATGAATGCACACATAACAAAGAAGTTTCTGAGAATGCTTCTGTGTGGCTTTTATGTGAAGATATTTCGTTTTCCAAAATAGGCCTCAATACGCTCCAAATATCCCATTGAAGATTCTACAAAAAGAGTGTTTCCAAACTGCTCAGTCAAAAGAGAGTTTCAACTCTGTGAGATGAATGCACACATCACAAAGAAGTTTCTCAGAATGCTTCTGCATAGTTTTTATGTGAAGATATTTCCTTTTCCACCATAGGTGGGAAAGGCCTCCAAATATCCACTTGCAGATTCTAGAACAAGAGAGTTTCAGAACTGCTCTATCAAAAGATAGGTTCAACTCCGTGAGTTGAATGCACACATCACAAAGAACCTTCTAAGAATGCTTCTGTGTAATTTTTGTGTGAAGATATATCGTTTTCTGCCATAGGCCACAAACGGCTCCAAATATACAGTTTCAGATTCTACAAAAAGAGAGTTTCAAAACTGCTCTATCAAAACATAGGTTCAACTCAGTGAGAAGAATGCACACATCACAAAGAAGCTTATCAGAATCCTTCTGTGTACTTTTCATGTGAAGATATTTTCTTTTCCATATTAGGCCTCCTAGGGCTCCAAATATCCACTTGCAGATTCTACTAAAAGAGTTTTTGCAAACTGCTCAATCAGAAGAATGTTTCAACTCTGTGTGATGAATGCACACATCACAAAGAAGTTTCTGAGAATGCTTCTGTGTAGTCTATATGGGAAGATATTTCCCCTTCCACCACCGGACACAAAGGGCTCCAAATATCCACTTGCAGATTCTAAGAAAAAAGAGTTTTTCAAAACTGCACAATCAAAAGAAATATTCAACTCTGCGAAATGAATGCACACAAAACAAAGGAGTTTCTGAGAATGTTTCTGTGTAGTTTTTATGTGAAGATATTTTCTTTTACACCATGGGCCTCAAAGCACTCCAAATATCCACTTGCAGATTCTTCGAAAAGTGTTTTTCGAAATTGCTCAATCAAAACAAATGTTCAACTCTGTGAGATGAATGCTCACATCACAAAGAAGTTTCTCAGAATGCTTCTATGTAGTTTTTATGTGAAGATATTTCTTTTTCCACAATAGGCCTAAAAGCGCTCCAAATATCCACTTGCAGATACTACAAAAAGAGAGTTTCAAAACTGCTGTATCAAAAGAGAGGTTCAACTGTGTGAGATGAATGCACACATCACAAAGAAGTTCCTCAGAATGCTTCTGTGTAGTTTTTCTGTGAAGATATTTCCTTTTCCACCATCAGCCTAAAAGCTCACCAAATATCCACTAGCAGATTCTACAAAAAGAGTGTTTCAAAACTGCTCAAAGAAAAGAATGGTTCAGCTCTGTGATATGAATTCAGACATCACAAGGAAGCTTCTCAGAATGCTTCTGTGTAGTTTTTATGTGAAGATATTTCCTTTTGAACAATAGGCCTCCAAGGGCTCCAAATATCCACGTGCAGATTCTACTAAAAGATTGTTTCCAAAATGCTCAATCAAAACAAAAGTCCAACTCTGTGAAATGAATGCACACATCATAAAGAAGTGTTTGAGAATGCTTCTGTGTAGTTTTTATGTGAAGATATTTCCTTTTCCACAACAGACTTCAAAGGACTCCAAATATCCACTAGCAGGTTCTACTAAAGAGTGTTTCCAAACTGCTCAATCAAAAGAATGGTTCAACTCTGTGGGATGAATGTACACATCATAAAGAAATTTCTCAGAATGCTTCCATGTAGTTTTTATGTGAAGATATTTCCTTCTCCACCTTAGGCCTCAAAGTGACCCAAATATCCACTTGCAGATTCTACAAAAAGAGTGTTTCAAAAGTGCTCAATCAAAAGAAAGGTTCAAGTCTGTGTGATGAATGCATACAAAATGAAGAAGTTTCTCACAATGCTTCTGTTTAGTTTTTATGTGAAGATATATCCATTTACATTATAGGCCACAAAGGTATCAAAATATTCACTTGCAGATACTACTAAAAGAGAGTTTCAAAACTGCTCTATCAAAAGATAGGTTCAACTCTGTGAGTTGAAAGCACATATCACAAAGAAGTTTCTCAGAATGCTTCTGTGTAGTTTTTATGGGAAGATAATTCCTTTTCCACCATTGGCCTCAAAACACTCAAAATATCCACTTGCAGATGCTACAAAAAGAGTGTTTCAAAACTGCTCAATCATAAGATAGGTTCAACCCTGTCAGATGAATGCATGCACCACAAAGTTTCTCAGAATGCTTATGTTCAGTTTTTATGTGAAGATATTTCGTTTTCCACAATAGGCTTCAAAGCGCACCAAATATCCACTTGCAGATTCTAGAAAAAGAGTGTTTCAAAACTGCTCAAACCAAAGAAAGGTTCATATCTGTGAGATGAATGCACAATCAAAAAGAAGTTACTCATAATGCTTCTGTGTGGTTTTTATGTGAAGATATTTCCTTTTCCACAGTAGGCCTCCAAGGGCTAAAAATATCCACTTGCATAGTATGCTAAAAGAGTGTTTCCAAACTGCTCAATCAAAAGAAGGGTTCAACTCTGTGTGATGAATGCACACATCACCAAGAAGTTTCTGAGTATTCTTCTGTGTACTTTTAATGTGAAGATATTTCCTTTTCCACAATAGTCCTCAAAGCACTCCAAATATCCACTTGCAGATTCTACAAAAAGCGTGTTTCAAAACTGCTAAATGAAAAGAGATGTTCAACTATGTGAGATGAATACACACATGACAAACAAGTTTCTCAGAATGCATCTGTGTAGTTTTCATGTGAAGATATTTCCTTTTCCACCATAGACCGCAAAGAGCTCCAAATATTAACTTGTAGATTCTACAAAAGGGAGTTTCAAAAATGCTCTACTAAAAGATCGGTTCATCTCTGTGTGATGAATGCTCACATCACAAAGATGTTTCTCAGATTGATTCAGTGTAATTTTTATGTGAAGATTTTTCCTTTTAAACCATAGGCCACAAAGCACTCCAAATATCCACTTGCAGATTCTACAAAAAGAGCGTTTTCAAACTGCTCAATCAAAAGAGAAGTTTAACTCTGTGAGATGAATGTACACATCACAAAGTAGTTTCTCAGAATGCCTTGGTGTACTTTTTATTGAAGATATTTCGTTTTCCAGCATGGGCCGCAAAGGTCTCCAAATATCCACTTGCAGATTCTACAAAAAGAGAATTTCAAAACTGCTCCAACTAAAAAAAGGTTCAACTCTGTGAGTTGAATGCACACATCACAAAGAGATTTCTCAATGCTTCTGTGTAGTTTTTATGTGAAGATATTTTTCTTTCCATCATATGCCACAAAGGGCTCCAAATATCCACCTGCAGATTATACAAAAAGAGCATTTCAAAACTGCTCTATCAAAAAATATGTTGAAATATGTGGGAGGAATTCACACATCACAAAGAAGTTTCTCAGAATGCTTCTGTGCAGTTTTTATAGGAGGATATTTCCTTTTCCACCATAGGCCACAAAGGACTCCAAGTAATCACTTGCAGAGTCTACAAAAAGAGTTTCAAAACTGCTCTATCAAATGACAGGTTCAACTCTGTGAGTTGAATGCACACATCACAAAGAATTTTTTCAGAATGATTCTGTTAAATTTTTATGTGAAGAAGTTTCTGAGAATTCTTCTGTGTAGCTTTTATGTGAAGATTTTTCCTTTTCTACCATAGGCCACAAAGGTCTCCTAATATCCACGTGCAGATTCTACAAAAAGAGTGCTTCAAAACTGCTCAATCAAATGAAACTTTCAACTCTGTGAGATGAATGCACACATCACCCATAAGTTTCTCAGAATACTTATGTGTAGTTGTTATAGGAAGATATTTCCTTTTCCACCAACAGCCACAAAGGGCTCCGAATAAAAAGTTACAGTTTCTACCAAAAGAAAGTTTCAAAACTACTCTATCAAAAGAAGGTTTAACTATGTGAGCTGAATGCACACATCACAAAGAAGTTTCTCAGAATGCTTCTGTGTAGTTTTTATGTGAAGATATTACCTTTTCCACCATTGGCCTCAAAGCGCTCCAAATATCAACTTCCAGATTCTACAAAAAGAGTGTTTCCAAACTGCTCAATCAAAAGAAATGTTCAACTATGTGAGGTAAATGCACACATCACAAACAAGTTTCTCAGAATGCATCTGTGTAGTTTTTATGTGAAGATATTTCCTTTTCCACAAGAGAACCCAAAGCACTCCAAATATCCACTTGCAGATCCTACAAAACGAATATTTCAAAATTGCTGCATCAAATGAAGTCTTCAATTCTGTGAGTGAAAGCACACATCACAAAGAAGTTTCTCAGATTGCTTCTGTGTAGTTTTTATTGGAAGATATTTCCTTTTCCTACGTAGTCAACAAAGGGCTTCAAATAATGACTTGCAGATTCTACAAAAAAAGAATTTCAAAAATGCTGTATGAAAAGATAGGTTCAGCTCAGTCTGATGAATGCACACATCACAAATAAGTTTCTCAGAACACTTCTGCATAGTTTTTATGTGAACATATTTCCTTTTCCAACACAGGCTGCAAAGAGCTCCAAATATCCACTTGCAGATTCTACAAAAAGGGAGTTTCAAAACTGCTCTATCAAAAGATAGCTTCAACTCCGTGAGTTAATCGCACACATCACAAAGAAGTTTCTGAGAATGCTTCTGTGTAGTTTTTATGTGAAGATATTTCCTTTTCCACCATAGGCCTCGAAGCGCTCCGAATATCCACTTGCAGATTCTATGAAAAGAGTGTTTCCAAACTGCTCATTCAAAGGAAATGTTCAATTTTGTGAGAAGAATCCACACATCACCAAGAAATTTCTGAGAATGCGTCTGTGTAGTTTTTCTGTGAAGATATTTCTTTTTCCACAATGGAAGTCAAAGAGCTCTGAATATCCACTTGCAGATTCTACAAAAAGAGTGTTGCAAAACTGCTCAATCAAATGAAAGACTCAACTCTGTGAGATTAATGCACACCTCACAAGGAAGTTTCTAGAATGCTTCTGTGTAGTTTTTATTGGAAGATAGTTCCTTTTCCCCCATGTGAAACAAAGGGCTCCAAATAACCACTTACAGTTTCTATAAAAGAGAGTTTCAAAACTGCTCTATAAAACATAGGTTCAACTCTGCGACTTGGATGCACTCATCATAAAGAAATTTCTCAGAATGATTCTGTGTAATTTTTATGTGAAGATATTTCCTTCTCCACCAGAGGCCTCAAAGGGCCCCAAATATCCACTTGCAGATTCTACAAAAAGAGTGTCAAAACTGCTCAATCAAAAGATAGGTTCAACTCTGTAAGATGAATGCACACAAAACAAATGAGTTTCTGATAATGCTTCTGTGTAGTTTTATGTGAAGATGTTTCCTTTTCCACAATAGGCCACAAAGTGCTCCAAATATCCACTTGCAGATTCTACAAAAAGAGTGTTTCCAGACTGCTCAATCAAAAGAGAGGTTTAACTCTGTGAGATGAATGCACTCATCACAAAGAAGTTTCTCAGAATGCTTCTGTGAAGTTTTTTTTTGAAGATATTTTTTATGTCTCCATTGGCCGAAAGGGTTCCAAATATCCACTTGCAGATTCTAAAAAGGAGAGCATCAAAACTGCTCTATCAAAGATAGGTTCAACTCTGTGAGTTGAATGCACACATCACAAAGAGGTTTCTCAGAATGCTACTGTGTAGTTTTTATGTGAAGATATATCCTTTTCCACCATAGGCCGCAAAGGGCTCCAAATATCCATTTGCAGATTCTACAAAAAGAATGTTTCAAAACTGCTCTATCAAATGTTAGGTTCAACTCTGTGAGATGAATGCACACATCACAAAGAAGTTTCTCAGAATGCTTCTTAGTAGTTTTATGTGAAGATTTTTCTTTTTAAACCGTAGGCCTCAAAACGCTCTAAATATCCACCTGCAAATTCTACAATAAGAGTATTTCAAAACTGCTCAATCAAAAGAAAGGTTCCACTCTCTGAGATGAATTCACACATCTCAAAGAAGTTTCTCAGAATACTTCTGTGTATTTCTATGTGAAGATATTTCCTTTTCCACAATAGGCCTCCTAGGGCTTGAAATATCCACTTGCAGCTTCTACTAAAAGATTGTTTCCAACTATTCAATCAAAAGATAAGTTCAACCCTGTGTGATGAATGCACACATCACAAAGAAGTTTCTGAGAATGCTTCTGTGTAGTTTTTATGGGAAGATATTTCCCCTTCCAACACCGGCCACAAATGGCTCCAAATATCCACTTGCAGATTCTAAAAAAAGAGAGTTTCAAAACTACTGTATCAAAACATTGGTTCAACTCTGTGAGATGAATGAACACATCACAAAGCAGTTACTCAGAATGCTTCTGTGTAGTTTTTATGTGAAGATATTTCCTTTTCCACCAGAGGCCTGAATGCACTCCAAATATCCACTTGCAGATTCTACAAAAAGAGTGTTTAAAAACTGCTCAGTCAAAAGAAAGGTTCAACTCTGTGGGATGAAGGCACACACAAAAAAGAAGTTTCTGAGAATGGTTCTGTGAATTTTTTATGTGAGGATATTTCCTTTTCCACCATAGGCTGCAAAGGGCTCCAAATATCCACTAGCAGATTCTACAAAAAGAATGTTTCAAAACTGTTCTATCAAAAGAAATTTTCAAGTCTGTGAGATGATTGCACACACAAAAAAGAAGTTTCTTAGAATGCTTCTGTGTAGTTTTTATATGAAGATATTTCTTTTTCCACCATAGGCCGCAAAGACCTCCAAATATCCACTTGCAGATTCTACAAATAGAGATTTGCAAAACTGCTCTAACAAAAGATAGGTAAAGCTCTTTGAGTTGAATGCAGACATCACAAAGGAGTTTCTCAGAATGCTTCTCTGTAGTTTTTATGTGAAGACATTTCCTTTTCCACAATAGGCCTCAAAGCGCTCCAAATAACTACTTGCAGATTCTACAAAAAGCGTTTTTCCAAACTGCTCAATCAAAAGAGAGGTTCAACTCTGTTAGATGAATGCACACATCACAAAAAGTTTCTCAGAATGTTTCTGTGTAGTTTTTATGTGAAGATAATTCCTCTTCCACCATAGACCTCAAAGGGCTCCAAATATCCACTTGCAGATTCTACAATATGAGAGTTTCAAAACTGCTCTATCAAAAGATTGGTTCAACCCTGAAAGTTGAATGCAAACATCACAAAGTAGTTTCTCAGAATGCTTCTGTGTAGTTTTTATGTGAAGATATTTCCTTTTCCACTGTATGTCTCAAATCATGCCAAATAGCCACTTGCAGATTCTACGAAAACAGTGTTTCAAAACTACTCAATCAAAACAAAGTTCAACGCTGTGAGATGAATTCTTACATCACAAAGAAGTTTCTCAGAATGCTTCTGTGTAGTTTTTATGTGAAAATATTTCCTTTTCCACAATAGGCCTCAAAGTGATCCAAATATCCACTAACAGACTCTACAAAAAGAGTGTTTCCAAACTGTTCAACCAAAATAATGGTTCAACTCTGTTTGATGAATGCACACATCACAGAGTAGTTTCTCAGAATGCTTCTGAGTAGTTTTTATGTGAAGATACTTCCTTTTCCACAATAGGCCTCAAAGCGCTCCATATATCCACTTGCAGATACTATGAAAACAGTGTTGCCAAACTACTCAATCAAAAGAAGTGTTCAAATCTGTGAGATGAATGCACACATAACAAAGAAGTTTCTCAGAATGCTTCTGTATAGTTTTTATGGGAAGATATTTCCTTTTCTACCATCAGCCACAAAGGACTCCAATAACCACTTGCAGATTCTATGAAAAGAGAGTATCAAAACTGCTCTATCAAAAGATAGGTTCAGCTCAATGAGATGAATGCACATTTCCTGAAGAGGTTTCTCAGAATGCTTCTGTTTAGTTTTTATGGGAAGATATTTCTGATTCCACCTCAGTCCTCAAACTCCTCCAAATATCCAATTGCAGATTCCACAAAAAGAGAGTTTCAAAACTACTCAATCAACTGAAAGTTCAACTCTGTGAGATGAATGCACACATCACAATGAAGTTTCTCAGAATGTCTCTGTGTAGTTTTAATGTGAAAATATTTCCTTTTCCACCATAGGCCTTAAAGTGCTCTAAATATCCAATTACAGATTCCACAAAAAGAGAGTTTCAAAACTGCTCAATCAACTGAAAGGCTTAACTCTGTGATTGGTCTACAAATTAGAAAGTAGTTTCTCAGAATGCTTCTGTGTAGTTTTTATGTGAAGATATTTCCTTATCCACCTTTGGCCACAAAGGGTTCCAAATAACCACTTGCAGATTCTACAGAAAGAGAATTTCAAAACTGCTCTATCAAATGATAGCTTCAACTCAGTGAGATGAGTGCACACATCACAAAGAAGTTTCTCAGAATGCCTCTGTGTAGTTTTTATGGAAAGATATTTCCTTTTCCACCATATGCCTCATAGCACTCCAAATATCCACTTGCAGATTCTACAAAAAGAGTTTTTCAATACTGCTCTATAAAAAGAAATATTCAATTCTGTTAGATGAATGCACACATCACAAAGAAGTTTCTCAGAATGCTTCTGTGTAGTTTTTATGTGAAGATATTTCCTTTTCCATGATAGGCCTCAAAGCACTCCAGACATTCACTTGCAGATTCTACAAAAAGATTGTTTCATAGCTGCTCAATCTAAAGAAAAATTCAACTCTGTGAGATGAATGTATACATCCAAAGATGTTTCTAGGAATGCTTCTGTGTAGTTTTTATGTGAAGATATTTCCTTTCCACAATAGGCCTCTAAGCACTCCAAATATCCACTGGCCGATTCTACTAAAAGAGTGTCTCCAAACTCCTCAATAAAAAGAAAAGATCAACTCTGTGAGATGAATGCACACATCACAAAGAAGTTTCTCAGAATGCTTCTGTGTAGTTTTTATGGGAAGATATTTCCTTTTCCAACATCAGACACAAAGGGCTCAAAATAACCACTTGCAGATCCTATAAACAGAGAGTTTCGAAATTGTTCTCTCATAAGATAGTTTCATGCCAATGAGGTGAAAGCACACATCACACAGAAATTTCTTAGAAAACTTCTGTGTAGTTTTTACATGAAGATATTTCCTTTTCCACCATACGCCTCCATGTGCTCCAAATATCCACTTGCAGATTCTACAAAGTAGTGTTTCAAAACTGCTCTATCATAAGAAAGTTTCAACTCTGTGAGTTGAATGCACACGTCAAAAAGAAGTTTCTGAGAATGCTTCTGTCTGGCTACTATGTGGAGATATTTCCTTTTCCACCATAGGCCTCAAAGCACTCCAAATATCCACTTGCAGATTCTACCAAAAGAGTGTTTCCAAATTGCTCAAACAAAAGAAAGGTTCAACTCTGTGAGATGAATGCACACATCACAAAGAAGTTTCTCAGAATGCTTCTGTGTAGTTTTTATGTGAACATAGTTCCTTTTCCACAATAGGCCTCAAAGTGCTTTAAATATCCACTTGCAGACTCTAAACAAGAGCATTTCAAAACTGCTCTATAAAAACATAGGTTCAACTCTGTAAGATGAAAGCACACATCGCAAAGTCGTTTCTCAGAATTCTTCTGTGTAATTTTTTTTGTGAAGATATTTCGTTTTCCACCACAGGCTGCAAAGTGCTCCAAATATCCACTTGCATATACTACAAAAACTTAGTTTCAAAACTGCTCTCTCAAAAGATAGGATCAACTCTGTGAGATGAATGCACACATCACAAAGAAGTGTCTCAGAATGCTTCTCTGTAGTTTTTATGTGAAGATATTCCTTTTCCACCTTTGTCCTCAAAGTGTTCCAAATATCCACTTGCAGATTCTACAAAAAGAGTTTTTCAGAACTCCTAAATCAAAAGAAAGTTTCAGCACTCTGAGATGAATGCACACATCACAAAGAAGTTTCTCAGAATGCTTCTGTATGGTTTTTATGTGAAGATATTTCCTTTTCCAACATAGGCCTTCAAGGGCTCCAAATATCCACTTGCAGATTCCACTAAAAGAGTGTTCCCAAACTGCTCAATCAAAAGAAAGTTTCAACTCTGTGAGATGAATGCACACATCACAAGGAAGTTACTGACAATGTTTCTGTGTAGTTTTTATGTGAAGTGTTTCCTTTTCCACAGTAGGCCTCAAAGCGCTCCAAATATCCACTTGCAGATTCTGCAAAAAGATTGTTTCAAAACTGCTCAATCAAATGAAATATTCAACTCTGTGAGATGAATGCACACATCACAAAGAAGTTTCTCAGAATGCTTCTTTGTAGTTTTTTATGGGAAGATATTTCCTTTTCCACCATCGGCCACAAAGGGCTCCAAATAATCACTTGCAGACTCTACAAAAAGAGAGTTTCAAAACTGCTCAATCAAAAGTTACGTTAAACTCTGCGAGTTGAAGGCAAACATCAAAAAGAAGTTTCTCAGAATGCTTCTGGGTAGTTTTTATGAGAAGATACTTCCTTTTACACCGTCATCCACAGAGGGTTCCAAATAACCACTTGCAGATTCTACAAAAAGAGAGTTTCAAAGTGGCTCTAACAAAAGATAGCTTCAACTCTGCACGTTGAATGCCCACATCACAAAGAATTTTCTCAGAATGTTTCTATGTTGTTTTTATGTGAGGATATTTCATTTTCACCATAGGCCTTAAAGGGCTCCAAATATCCTCTTCCAGATTGTACGAAAACAGTGTTTCAAAGCTGCTCAATCAAAAGAAATGTTCAAATCTGTGGGATGAATGCACATATCAGAAAGAAGTTTCTCAAAATGCTTCTATGTAGTTTTTATGTGAAGATATTTCCATTTCCACCGTAGGCCACAAAAGGCTCAAAATATCCACTTGCAGATTCTACAAAAAGAGAGTTCCAAAACTGCGCTATCAAAAGATAGGTTCAACTCTGTGAGTTGAATGCACATATCACAAAAATTGTCTCAGAATGCTTCTGTCTAGTTTTTATTTGAAGGTACATTCTTTTCCACCATTGTCTGCAAAGGGCTCCAAATAACCAGTTGCAGATTCTACAAAAAGAGAGTTTCAAAAGTGCTCTATCAAAATATAGGTTCAACTCTGTGAGATGAATGCACACATCACAAAGAAGTTTTTCAGAATGCTTCTGTGTAGTTTTTATGTGAAGATATTTCTTTTTGTACCATGGGCCTCAAAGCGCTCCAAATATCCACTTCAGATTCTACAAAAAGAGTGTTTAAAAACTGCTCAATCAAAAGAAAGGTTCAACTCTGTGAGATGAATGCACACATCCAAAGAATTTTCTCAGAATTCTTC
Source organism: Homo sapiens (assembly GCF_000001405.40). Taxonomy (NCBI): domain Eukaryota; kingdom Metazoa; phylum Chordata; class Mammalia; order Primates; family Hominidae; genus Homo; species Homo sapiens. The sequence goes on from NC_000012.12 coordinate 37,701,335, forward strand.
TGTGTAGTTTTTGTCTGAATATATTTCCTTTTCCACCAAAGGCCACAAAAAGCTCCAAATATCCACTTGCAGAATCTACAAAAAGAGGATTTCAAAACTGCTCTATCAAAAGATAGGTTCAACTCAATGAGTTAAATGCAAACATCACAAAGTAGTTTCTCAGAATGCCTCTATGTTGTTTTTATGTGAAGATATTTCCTTTTCACCATAGGCCTTAAGGGGCTCCAAATATCCTCTTCCAGACTGTATGAAAACAATGTTTCAAAGCTGCTCAAAGAAAAGAATTGTTCAAATCTGTGGGATGAATGCACATATCAGAAAGAAGTTTCTCAAAATGCTTCAGTGTAGTTTTTATGTGAAGATATTTCCATTTCCACCGTAGGACGCAAAGGGCTCCAAATATCCACTTGCAGATTCTACAAAAAGAGTGTTTCAAAACGGCTCTATCAAAAGACAGGTTCAACACTCTGAGTTGAATGCACACATCACAAACAAGTTTCTCAGAATGCTTCTGTGTAGTTTTTATGTGAAGATATTTCCTTTTCCACAATAAGCTGCAAACGACTCCAAATATCCATATGCAGATTCCACAAATAGAGAGTTTCAAAACTGCTCTTTCAAAAGATAGGTTCAACTCTGTGAGATGAATGTACACATCACAAAGAAGTTTCTCAGAATTCTTCTGTGTACTTTATATGTGAAGATGTTTCATTTTCCACAATTGGCCTCAAAGCGCTATAAATATCCACTTGCAGAACCTACAAAAAGAGTGTTTCCAAACTGCTCAATCAGAAGAAAGGTTCAACTCTGTGAGATGAATGCACACATCACCACATCACCAAGTAGTTTCTGAGTATGCTTTTGTGTAGTTTTTATGGGAAGATATTTCCATTTCCACAATAGGCCCCAAAGCGCTCCAAATAACCAGTTGCAGATTCTACAAAAAGAGTGCTTCAAAACTGCTGTATCAAACGAAATGTTCAACTCTGAGAGACGAATTCACACATCACAAAATATTTTCTCGGAATGCTTCTGTGTAATTTTTATGGGAAGATATTTCCTTTTCCACCATCAGCCACAAAGGGCTCCAAATAACCACTTGCAGATTCTACAAAAGAGAGTTTCAAAACTGTTCTATCAAAAGATATGTTCAACTCTGTGAGACTAATGCACACAAAATGAAGTAGTTTCTCAGAATGCCTCTGTGTAGTTTTTATGTGATGATATTTCCTTTCCACCGTAGGCCTCAAAGCGATCCAAATATCCACTTGCAGATTCTACAAAAAGAGTGTTTCAAAACTTCTCATTCAAAAGAAAGTTTCAATTCTGTGACATGAATGCACACAAAACAAAGAAGTTTCTGAGAATGCTTCTGTGTAGTTTTTTTTGTGAAGATATTTCCTTTTCCACTATAGGCCTCAAAGCACACCAAATATCCACTGGCAGATTCTAAAAAAAGAGTGTTTCCAAACTGCTCAATCAAATGAAAGGTTCAACACTGTGAGATGAATGCACACATCACAAAGAAGTTTCCCAGAATGCTTCTGTGTAGTTTTTATGGGAAGATATTTCCTTTTCTGCCATCAGCCACAAAGGGCTCAAAATAACCACTTGCAGATTCTACAAAAAGAGAGTTTCAAAAGTGCTCTATCAAAAGATAGGTTCAACTCTGTGAGTTGAAAGCACACATCAAAAAGAAGTTTCTCGGAATGCTTCTGTGTAGTTTTTATGTGAAGATATTTCTTGTTTCACCATAGGCCTCAATAGGCTATATCCCTATGCACATTCTACAAAAGGAACGTTTCCAAACTCTTCAATCAAAAGAAAGTTTCAACTCTATGAGATGAATGCACATATCATGAGGAAGTTATTCAGATTGGTTCTGTCCAGTTTTTCTATGAAGATATTTCCTTTGTCACCATTGGCCTCAAAGTGCTCCAAATATCCATTAGCAGATACTTCAAAAAGACTGTTTCCAAACTGATCAATCAAGAGAAAGGTTGAGATGAAAGCAGGCATCCCAAGGAAGTTTCTCAGAAAACTTCTGTATAGTTTTTAAGTGAAGATAATTCCTATTTCACCATAGGGCATAAAGGGCTCAGAACTATCCCTTTGCAGATTCTACAAAAAGTCTGTTTCAAAACTACTCAATAAAAGGAAAGTTTCAACTCTGTGAGATGAATGCACACATCACAAAGATGTTTCTCAGAAATATTCTGTCTAGCTCTTATGTGAAGATATTTCCTATTTCACCATAGGCCTCAAAGGGCTCACAAATATCACATTCAATATTCTTCAAAGGGATTGTTTGCAAACTGCTCCATCAAAAGAAAGGTTCAACTCTGTGAGATGAATGCACACATCACAAAGAAGTTTCTCAGAATGCTTCTGTCTAGTCTTTATGTGAAGGTTTTTCCTTTTTCACCATAAGCCACAAAGCACTCCAAATATCCATTTTCATGTTCTACAAAGGACAGTTTCCAAACTGCTCCATCAAAAGAATGTTTCAACTCCATGACATGAAAGTATACGTCACAAAGAAGTTTCTCAGAAGGCTTCTGTATAGTTTTTATGTGAAGACATTTCCTATTTCATCTTAGGCCATAAAGGGCTGACAAATATCCCTCTGCAGATACTATGAAAAGACTGTTTCCAAACTGCTCAATCAAAAGAAAGGTTCAACTCTGTGAGATGAATGGACACATCACAAAGAAGTTTCTCAGAATGCTTTGGTCTAGTTTTTATGTGAAGATAATTCTTTTTCACTGTAGGCCTCAAAAGGCTCAGAAATATCCCTTACAGATTGTACAGAAGACTGTTTCAAAACTGCTCAATCAAAAGAAAGTCTCAACTCTGTGAGATGAAAGCACACAGCACAAAGAAGTTTCTCAGAAAGCTTCTATCTAGTTGTTATGTGAAGATATTTTCTATTTCACAATTGGCCTCAATTGGCTCACAAATATCCCTTTGCAGATTCTACACAAGGACGGTTTCCAAACTGTTCAATCAAAAGAAACGTTCAACTCTGTGAGATGAATGCAGGCATCACAAAGAAGTTTCTCAGAATTCCTCTGTCTAGTTTTTACGTGAAGATATTTCCTTTTTCACTATAGGCCTCAAAGTGCTCCAAATATCCATTTGCAGATTCTAGAAAAAGACTATTTGCATACTGTTCAAACAAAAGACTGGTTCAGCTCTGTGACATGAAAGCACACATCACGAAAAAGTTTCTCAGAATGATTCTGTCTAGTTTTTATGTGAAGACATTTCCTATTTGACCATAGGCCATAAAGGGCTCAAAATTATCCCTTTGCAGATTCTACAAAAAACTCTTTGCAAACTGTTCAATAAAAAGAATTGTTCAACTCTGTGAGATGAAAGCACAAATCACAGTGAAGTTTCTCAGAATGCTTCTGTCTAGTTTTTTTGTCAAGATCTTTCTTTCTCACCATAGGCCTCAAACGTTTCAGAAATATCCCTTTGCAGATTGTACAAAAAGACTGTTTCCAAACTGCTCACTCAAAAGAAAGGTTCAACTCTGTGAGATGAATGCAGGCATTACAAAGAAGTTTCTCAGAATGTTTCTGCCTAGTTTTTACGTGAAGATATTTCCTTTTTCACCATAGGCCACAATGCGCTCCAAATATCCATTTACAGATTCTACAAAAAGACTGTTTCCAAACTGCTCAATCAAAAGAAAGGTTCAACACTGTGAAATGAAAGTCTACATCACAAAGTAGTTTCTCAGAAATTTCTGTGTAGTTTTTATGTGAAGATATTTCCTATTTCACCATAGGCCATAAAGGGCTCACAAATATCCCTTTGCAGATTCTACAAAAGGACTCTTTCCAAACTGCTCAATCAAAAGAAAGTTTCAACTCTGTGAAATGACAGCACACATCACAAAGAAGTTTCTCAGAATGCTTCTGTCTAGTTTTTATGTGAAGATATTTCTTATTTCACCCGAGGCCACAAAGGACTCACAAGTATCCCTTTGCAGATTCTACCAAATGTCTGTTTCTAAACTGCTCAATCAAAAGACTTATTCATCTCTATGAGATGAATGCACACATCACAAAGAAGTTTCTTAGAATGTTTTTGCCTAGTTTTTAAGTGAAGATATTTCCTTTTTCACCATATGCCTTAAACCGCTCAGAAATATCCCTTTGCAGATTGTACAAGAAGCACTGTTTCCAAACTGCTCAATGAAAAGAAACGGTCAACTCTGTGAGATGAATGCAAACTTCCCAAAGAAGTTTTTTAAAAAGCTTCTGTCTAGTTTTTATGTGGAGATATTTCCTGTTTCACCATAGGCCTCAAACTGCTCACTAATATCCCTTTGCAGATACTAGAAAAAGACCGTTTCCAAACTGCTCAATCAAAAGAAAGTTTGAACTCTGTGAGATGAAAACAGGAAACCCAAAGAAGTTTCTCAGAAAGCTTCTGTCTAGTTTTTAAGTGAAGATATATCCTATTTCACCATAGGGCATAAAGGGCTCAGAAGTATCCCTCTGCAGATACTATGAAAATACGGTCTCCAAACTACTCCATCAAAGGAAAGCTTCAACTCTGTGAGATGAAAGCACACAACACAAAAATGTTTCTTAGAAACCTTCTGTCTAGCTTTTATGTGAAGATATTTCCTATTTCACCATAGGCCTAAAAGGGCTCAAATATATCCCATTCAATATTCTACAAAAGGACTGTTTCCCAACTGTTCAGTCAAAAGAAATGTTCAAATCTGTGAGATGAATGCACACATCACAAAGAAGTTTCTCAGAATGCTTCTGTCTAGTTTTTAAGTGAAGATATTTCCTTTTTCAACATAGGCCCCAAAGTGCTCCGAATATCCATTTGCAGATTCTACAAAAAGACAGTTCCCAAACTGCTCAATAAAAGGAAAGTTTCAACTCTGTGAGGTGAATGCACATATCACAAAAAGTTTCTCAGAAAGCTTCTGTTTAGTTTTTATATGAAGATATTTCATTTCCTAACGTAGGCCTCGAAGTTCTCTAAATATCCATTTGCAGATTCTACAGAAAGAGTGCTTGCAAACTGCTCAATCAAAGGAAATTTTTAACACTGTGAGATGAATGAACACATCACAAAGAAGTTTCTCAAAATGCTTCTGTCGACTTTTTATGTGAAGACATTTCCTTTTTCACCAAAGGCCTTAAACGGCTCACAAATATCTCTCTGCAGATACTACAAAATACTATCTTCAAACTGCTCCATGAACAGAAAGGTTCAACTCTGTGAGATGAATGCACACATCACAAAGAAATTTCTCAGAATGCTTCTGTTTAGTCTTTATGTGAAGATATTTCTTTTTCCAGAATAGGCCACAAGGCACTCCAAATATCCATTTTCATGTTCTACAAAAAAGACTGTTTCCAAACTGCTCAATCGAAAGAATCTTTCAACTCCATGACATGAAAGCATACATCACAAAGAAGTTTCTCAGAAGGCTTCTGCATAGTTTTTATGTGAAGACATTTCCTATTTCACCTTAGGCCATGAAGGTCTGACAAGTATCCCTCTGCAGATTCTACAAAAAGACTGTTTCCAAACTGCTCAATTAAAAGAAAAGTTCAACTCTGTGAGATGAATGGACACATCACAAAGAAGTTTCTGAGAATGATTCAGTCTGGTTTTTATGTGAAGATATTTCTTTTTCAGCATAGGCCTCCAAAGGCTCTGAAATAACTGTTTGCAGATTGTACAAAATACTGTTTTGAAACTGCTCAATCAAAAGAAAGGTTCAACTCTGTGAGATGAAAGCACACATCACAAAGTAGTTTCTCAGAAGGCTTCTGTCTAGTTTTTATGTGAAGATATTTTCTATTTCACCATAGGCCTCAATGGCTCAAAAATATCACTTTGCAGATTCTTCAAAAGGACTGTTTCCAAACTGTTCAATCAAAAGGAAGGTTCAAATCTATGAGACGAATGCATGCATCACAAATAAGTTTCTCAGAATTCAGAATTCTTATGTCTACTTTTAATGTGAAGATATTTCCTTTTTCACTATAGGCCAAAAAGCGGTCCAAATTTCCCTTTGAATATTCTAGAATAAGACTATTTTGATACTGTTCAAACAAAAGAGTGGTTCAGCTCTGTGAGATGAAAGCACACATCACAAAGAAGTTTCTCAGAATGATGCTGTCTAGTTTTTTATGTGAAGGCACTTCCTATTTCACCATAGGCCATAAAGGGCTCAAAATTATCCCTTTACAGATTCTACAAAAAATATCTGCAAACTGTTCAATAAAAAGAAGTGTTCAACTTTGTAAGATGAATGCACACATTACAACGAAGTTTCTCAGAATGCTTCTGTCTAGTTTTTATGTGAAGATCTTTCTTTTTCACCATAGGCCTCAAATGGTTCAGAAATATCCCTTTGTAGATTGTACAAAAACACTTTTTCCAAACTGCTCAATCAAAAGAAAGGTTCAACTCTGTGAGACGAAAGCATACATCACAAAGAAGTTTCACAGAATGCTTCCATCTAGTTTTTATGTGAAGATATTTCCTTTTTCACCATAGTCCTCAATGCACTCCAAATGTCAATTTGCAGAATCTACCAAATGAGTGTTTCCAAACTGCTCAATCAAAAGAAAGTTCAACTCTGCATGATGAATACACACATCACAAAGAAGTTTCTCAGAATGCTTCTTTCTAGTTTTTTTGTGAAGATATTTCCTTTTTCACCATAGGCCTTAAACTGGTCACTAATATCCCTCCGCAGATACTTGAAAAAGACTGTTTCCAAACTGCTCCATCAAAAGAAAAGTTCAACTCTGTGAGATGAATGCACACAACACAATGAAGTTTCTCAGAATGCTTCTGTCTAGTTTTTACGTGAAGATATTTCCTTTTTCACCGTAGGCCTCAAAGCACTCCAAATGTCCATTTGCAGATTCTACAAAAAGAGTGTTTCCAAACTGCTCAACCAAAGGAAAATTTCAACTCTGTGAGATGAAAGCCTACATCACAAAGTAGTTTCCCAGAAACTTCTGTCTAGTTTTTCTGTGAAGATATTTCCTATTTCACCATAGGCCATAAAGGGCTCAGAAATATCCCTTTGCAGATTGTACAAAAGGACTCTTTCCAAACTACTCAATCAAAAGAAGGTTCAACTCTGTGAGATGAATGCACACATCACAAAGAAGTTTCTCAGAATTCTTCAGTCTAGTTTTCATGTGAAGATATTTCCTTTTTCACCCTAGGCCTCAAAGCGCTCCAAATATCCATTTGCAGACACTACAAAAGGCCTGTTTCCAAACTACTCAAACTAAAGAGAGGTTCAACTCAGTGAGATGAAAGCACACGTCACAAAGATGTTTCTCAGAAAGCTTCTGTCTAGTTTTTATGTGAAGATATTTCCTGTTTCACTATGGGCCATAAAGGGCTCACAAATATCCCTCTGCAGATTCTAAGAAAATATTGTGTCCAAACAGCTCAATCAAAAGAAAGATTCAACTCTGTGAGATGAATGGACAAATCACAAAACGTTTCTCAGAATGCTTCTGACTAGTTTTTATGTGAAGATTATTCATTTTCACCATTGGCCTTAAACAGCTCAGAAATATACCTTTGCTGATTCTACAAAAAGATTGTTTCCAAACTGCTCAATCAATAGAAAGGTTCAACTCTGTGAGATGAATGCAGGTGTCACAAAGAAGTTTCTCAGAATGCTTCTGTCTAGCTTTTATGTGGAGATATTTCCTACTTCACCATAGGCCTTCGAGGACTCACAAATGTCTGTCTGCAGATTCTTCAAAAGGACTCTTTCCAAGCTGCTCAATCAAAAGAAAGGTTCAACACTGTGAGATGAATGGACTTATCACAAAGTAGTTGCGCAGAATTCGTCTGTCTAGTTTATATGTGAAGATATTTCCTTTTTCACCATAGGACATCAAAGGCTCACAGATATCCCTCTACAGTTTCTGTGAAAAGACTGTTTACATAGAGCACAATGAAAAGAAAGGTTCAACTCTGTGAGACGAAGGGACACATCACACATCACAAAGAAGTTTCTCAGAATGCTTTTGTCTAGTTTTATATGAAGATATTTATTTTTCCTCATAGGCCTCAAGCGGTTCAGAAATATCTCTTTGCAGAATGTACAAAAAGAGTGTTTCCAGACTGCTCAATCAAAAGAAAGTTCAACTCTGTGAGAAGAATGCAAGCATCGCAATACTCTTTTTGTAGAATCTGTAAGTGTATATTAGGAGCACCTGGAGGCCTATTGTGGAATATGAAATAACTTCACATGAAAACTACATAGAAGCATTCTGGGAAACTTCTTTGTGATGTGAGCATTCATCTCACAGAGCTGAAACTATCTTTTGATTGAGTAATTTTGAAACACACTTTTTGTAGAATATGCAAGTGGATACTTGGATCACTTTGAGGCTTATGGTGGAAAAGGAAATATCTTCCCATAAAAACTACACAGAAGCATTCTGAGAAACTTCTTTGTGATTTGTGCATTCAGCTCACAGAGTTGAACCTATCTTTTGATAGAGCAGTTTTGAAACTCTCTTTTTGTAGTATCTGCATGTGCTTATTTGGAGCCCTTTGTGGCCGCTGCCGGAAAAGGTAATATCTTCCCATAAAAACTACACAGAAGCATTCTGAGAAAGTTCTTTCTGATGTGTGCATTCATCTCACAGAGTTGAACCTTTCATTTGTCTGAGCAATTTTGAAACACTCTTTTTGTAGGAAATGCAAGCGGATATTTTAAGCGCTTTGAGGCTTATTGTAGAAAAGGAAATATCTTCACATCATAAAAACTACACAGAAGCATTCTCAGAAACTTGTTTGTTTTGTGTACATTCGTCTCACGGAGTTGAACCTTTCTTTTGATTGTGTAGTTGTCAAACACTCTTTTTGTAGAATCTGCAAGTGGAAATTTGCATCCCTTTGAGGCCTAAGGTGGAAAAGGAAATATCTTCACATAAAAACTGCACTGAAGCATTCCGAGAAACTTCTTTGTGATGTGTGCATTCATCTTCCAGAATTGAAACTTTCATTTGGTTGAGCAGTTTTGAAACACTCTTTTTGTAGAATCTGCAAATGGATGTTTGGAGTGCTTTGAGCCCTATGGTGGAAAAGGAGATATCTTCACATAAAAACTACACAGAAGCATTCTGAGAAAATTCTTTGTGATCTGTGGATTCATCTCACAGAGTTGAACCTACCTTTTGATAGAGCAGTCTTGAAACTGTCTTTTTCTAGAATTTGCATGTGGATATTTGGAACCATAGGAGGCCTATCGTAGAAAAGGAAATATCTTCACATAAAAACTACACAGAAGCATTCTGAGAAATTTTTGGTTATGAGTGCATTCATCTCACAGAGTTGAAACTATTTTTTTATAAATCAGTTTTAAAACTCCCTTTTTTTTAGAAGCTGCAATTGTATATTTGGAGTCATAGGAGGTCTATTTTGGAAAAGGAAATATCTTCACATAAAAACTACACAGAAGCATTCTGAGAAACTTATTTCTGATGTGTGCATTCAACTCACAAAGATGAACCTGTTTTTTGACAGAGCAATTTTGAAATTCTCTTTATGTTGAATCTGCAAGTGGATATTTGGAGCCGTTTGTGGCCTATGGTGGGAAAGGAAATATCTTCTCATAAAAACTACACAGATGCATTCTGAGAAACTCCTTTGTGATGTGTGCATTCAACTCACAGTGTTCAACCTACCTTTTGATAGAGCAGTTGTGAAACTCTCTTTTTATAGTATCTGCAAGTGGATATTTGGAGCCCTTTGGGGCCTATAGTGGAAAAGGAAATATTTTCATATAAAAACTACACAGAAGCATTCTGAGAATCTTCTTTGTGATGTGTGCATTCATCTCACAGTGTTGAACATTTCTTTTGATTGAGCAGTTTGGAAACACTCTTTTGGTAGAATCTGCAAGTGGATATTTGTAGTGCTTTGAGGTCTATGGTGGAAAAGGAAATATCTTCACAGTAAAACATCACAGAAACATTCTGAGAAATTCCTTGTGATGTGTGCATGCATCTCATAGATTTGAACCTTTCATTCGATTGAGCAGTTTTGAAATACTCTTTTTGTAGTATCTGCAAGAGGATATTTGGAGTGCTTTGAGGCCTATTGTGGAAAAGGAAAAATCTTCACATAAAAACTACAGAGAAGCATTCTGAGAATCTTCTTTGTGATGTGCGCATTCATCTCACCAATTGAACCTTTGTTTTGATTGAGCAGTTTTGAAAAACTCTTTTTGTAGAATCTGCAAGTGGATATTTGGAGTGCTTTGAGGACTATGGTGTAAAAGGAAATATCTTCACATTAAAACCACATAGAAGCATTCTCAGAAACTTCTCTCTGATGTGTGCATTCAACTCGCAGAGTTGAACCTGTCTTTTCATAGAGCAGCTTTGAAACTCTCTTTTTGTAGAATCTGCAAGTGGATATTTTGAGCCTTTAGTGACCAATGGTGGAAAACGAAATATCTTCCCATAAAAACTACACAAAAGCATTCTGAGAAATTTCTTTGTAATGTGTGCATTCATCTCACAGAGTTGAACATGCCATTTGATTGAGCAGTTTTCAAACACGTTTTGCAGAATCTGCAAGTGGATACTTGGAGGGCTTTGAGGCCTATTGTCGAAAAGGAGATATCTTTACATAAAAACTACACAGAAGCCCTCTCGGAAACTTCTTTGTGATGTGTGCATTCATCTCACAGAGTCGAAACTTTCTTTTCCTTGAGCAGTTTGGAAACACTCTTTTTGTAGAATCTACAAGTGGATACTTGCTCGCTTTAAGGCCTACGGAGGAAAAGGAAATATCTTCCATTATAAACTATACAGAAGCATTCTGAGAACCTTCTTTGTGATGTGTGCTTTCATCTCACAGAGTTGAACCTTTCCTTTGATTGAGCAGTTTGGAAAAACTCTTTTTGTGGAATCTGCAAGTGGATATTTGGTACACTTTGAGGCCTATGGTGGAGAAGAAAATATCTTCACATAAAAACTACACGGAAGCATTCTGAGAAACTTCTTTGTGTTGCATGCATTCAACTCACAGGATTGAACCTGTCTTTTGATAGAGCAGTTTTAAAACTCTCCTTTTGTACAACCTTGAATTGGATATTTTGAGCCCTTTGTGGCCTATGGTGGAAAAGGAAATATCTTCACATAAAATCTACACAGAAGTATTCTGATAAATTTCTTTGTGATGTGTGCATTCATCTCACAGAGTTGAACCTCTCTTTTGAGCAGTTTGGAAACACCCTTTTTGTAGATTCTGCAAGTGGATATTTGCAGTGATTTCGAGCATATTGTGGAAAAGGAGGTAACTTCACATATAAACTACACAGAAGCATTCTGAGAAACTTCCTTGTGATGTGTGCATTCCTGACATAGAAGTGAACCTTTCTTTTCTTTTCTTTCTTTCTTTCTTTTTTTTTTTGAGATGGAGTCTTGCTCTGTCACCCAGGCTGGAGTGCAGTGGTGCGATCTCTGCTCACTGTAAGCTCTGCCTCCTGGGTTCACGCCATTCTCCTGCCTCAGCCTCCCAAGTAGCTGGGATTACAGGTGCCCGCCACCACGCCCAGCTAATTTTTTGTATTTTTAGTCGAGACAGGGTTTCCCCATGTTAGGCAGGATGGTCTCCATCTCCTGACCTCGTGATCCACCCGCCTCAGCCTCCCAAAGTGTTGGGATTACAGGCATGAGCCACCACGCCCATCCTGAACCTTTCTTTTCATTGCACAGTTTTGAAACACTCTTTTCATAGAATCTTCAAGTGGATATTTTGAGCGCTTGAGGCCTATGGTGGAAAAGGAAATATCTTCACATAAAAACTACACAGAAGCATTCTGAGAAACCTCTTTGTGATGTGTGCATTCAACTCACAAAGTTGAACCTATCTTTTGAAAGAGCAGCTTTGAATCTTTCTTTATGTTGAATCTGCAAGTGGATATTTGGAGCCCTTTGTGGCCTATGGTGGAAAAGGAAATATCTTCTCATAAAAACTACATAGAAGCATTATGAGAAACTCTATTGTGATGTATGCATTCAACTCATAGTGTTCAGACTATCTTTTGATAGAGCAGTTGTGAAACTCTCTTTTTGTAGTATCTGCAAGTGGATATTTGAAGCCCTTTGCAGCCTATGGTAGAAAAGGAAATATTTTCTAATAAAAACTACACAGAGGCAGTCTGAGAAACTTCTTTGTGATGTGTGTATTCATTTCATGGAGTTGAACCTTTCTTTATATTGAGCAGTTTAGAAAGACTCTTTTTGTAGAATCTGCAAGTGGATATTTGGAGCACTTTGAGGCCTATGGAGGAAAAGGAAATATTTTCACAGAAAAGCATCACAGAAGCATTCTGATAAACTTCTTTGTGATGTGTGCATGTATCTCATAAATTTGGACATTTCATTCGATTGAGCAGTTGTGAAACACTCTTTTTGTAGAATCTGCAAGTGAATATTTGGAGCGCTTTGAGGCCTATGGTTGAAAAGGGAAAATCTTCATATAAAAACTACAGAGAAGCATTCTGTGAAACTTCTTTGTAATGTGCGCTTTCATCTCAAAGAGTTGAAACATTGCTTTGAGCAGTTTTGAAACACTCTTTTTGTAGATTCTTCAAGTGAATATTTGGAGTGCTTTGAGGACTATGGTGGAAAAGAAAATATGTTCACATTAAAACTACACAGAAGCATTCTGAGAAACTTCTCTGTGATGTGTGCATTCAACTCTCAGAGTTTAAACTGTCTTTTCATAGAGCAGTTTTGAAACTCTCTTTTGCAGAATCTGAAAGTGGATATTTGGAGTCCTTAGTAGCCAATGGTGGAAAAGGAAATATCTCCCCATAAAAACTACACAGAAACGTTATGAGAAACTTCTTTGTAATGTGTGCATTCATCCTACATAGTTGAACCTATCTTTTGATAGAACAGTTTTGAAACTCTATTTTTGTGGAACATGCCAGTGGATATTTGGAGCCCATTTCCTCTTATGGTGGAAAAGGAAATAACTTCATATAAAAACAACACAGAAGCATTCTGTGAAACTTCTTTGTTTGAGTGCATTCATGGCACATAGTTGAAACTTTCTTTTGACAGAGCAGTACTGAAAACCTCTTTTTGTAGGAAATGCAATTGGAAATTTGGAGCCCCTTGCAGACTATGGTGGAAAACGAAATATCTTCACATAAAAACTACAAAGAAGGATTCTGAGAAACTTCTTTGTGATGTGGGCATTCATCTCACAGATTTGAATCTCTATTTTGATTGAGCAGTTTGGAAACACTGTTTTTGTAGAATCTGTAAGTAGATATTTGGAGCGCTTTGAGGCCTACTGTGGAAAAGGAAGTATCTTCACGTAAAAACTACACAGAAGCATTCTCAGAAACTTCTTTGTTTTGTGTGTATTCATCTCACAGAGTTGAAGTCCCCTTTTGATGGAGCAGTTTGGAAACACTCTTTTTGTAGAGCCTGCAAGTGGATATTTGGTGCGCTTTGAGGCCTATTGTGGAAAAGGAAATATCATCACATAAAAACTACACAGAAGCATTCTGAGAAACTTCTTTGTGATGTTGGGCATTCATCTCACAGAGTTGAAATTTCTTTCATTTGAGCAGTTTTGAAAAACACTTTTTGTAGAATCTGCAAGTGGATATTTGGAGGGCTTTGTGGCCTATGGTGGAAAAGGAAATATCTTCACATAAAAACTACACACAAACATTCCGAGAAACTTCTTTTTGATGTGTGCATTCGTCTCACAGAGTTGAAATTTTCTGTTGATTGAGTAGTTTTGAAACACTCTTTTTGTAGTATCTCCAAGTGGATATTTGCAGTGCTCTGAGGCCTATGTTGGAAAAGGAAATGTCTTCACATAAAAAATACACAGAAGCATTCTGAGAAACTTCTTGTGATGTGTGCATTCATCTCACAGAGTTCAACCTATCTTTTGAAAGAGCAGTTTCGAAATTCTCTTTTGAAGAATCTTCATCTGGATATTTTGAGTCCTTTTGTCTTATGGTGGAAAGGGAAATTTCTTCATATAAAAACTACACAGAAGCATTCTGAGAAACTTCTTTGTGATGTGGGCATTCATCTCATAGAGTTGAAATTTCTTTCATTTGAGCAGTTTTGAAAAACACTTTTTGTAGAATCTGCAAGTGGATATTTTGAGGGCTTTGTGGCCTACAGTGGAAAAGGGAAAATCTTCACATAAAAACTACACAGAAGCATTTTGAGAAACTTCTTTGTGATGTGTGCATTCATCTCACAGAATTGAACATTTCTTTTGATTGAGCAATTTTGAAACAATTTTTTCATAGAGTCTGAAAGTGGACATTTGGGGTGCTTTGCGGCCTATGGTGGAAAGAGAAATATCTTCCAACAAAAACTACAGAAGGATTCTGAGAAACTTTTTGTGATGTGTCCATCCACCTCACTGAGATGAAGCCATCTTTTGATATAGCAGTTTTGAAACTCTCTTTTAATGGAATCTGCCAGTGGTTATATGGAGCACTTTGTGGCCAATGGTGAAAAAGGAAATATCTTCCCATAAAAACTACACAGAAGCATTCGGAGAAACCTCTTTGTGATGTGTGCATTCATCTCAGAGAGTTGAAACTTTCTTTTGCTTGAGCAGTTTTGAAACACTCTTTTTGTCGAATCTGCAACTGGATATTTGGAGCACTTTGAGGCTTATGGTGGAAAAGGAAATATCTTCACATAAAATCTAAACAGAAGCATTCTGAGAAACTTCCTTGTGATGTGTGCATTCATCTCTTGGACTTGAACCTATCTTTTGAAAGATCAGTTTTGAAACTCTCTTTTTGTAGAATATGCAAGTGGTTATTTGGAGCCCTTTCTGGACTATGGTGGAAAAGGATACACCTTCACAAAAAAAATACACAGAAGCATTCTGATAAACACCTTTGTGATATGAGCATTCCAATCACAGAGTTGAAGCTATCTTTTGATAGAGCAGCTTTGGAACTCTCTTTTTGTAGAATATGCAAGTGGATATTTGGAGCCCTTTGTGGCCAATGGTGGAAAAGGAAATATCTTCACAAAAAAATTACATAGAAACATTCTGAGAAACTTCTTTGTGATGAGTGCATTCATCTCACAAATTCTGAGAAACTTCTTTTGTTGCATGCCTTCATCTTACAGCATTGAGCCTTTTATTTGATTGGGCACTTTGGAAACACTCTTTTTGTAGAATCTGTAAGTGGATATTTGGAGCGCTTTGAAGCCTATTGTGGAAAAGAAAATATCTTCACGTAAAAACCACACAGAAGCATTCTGAGAAACTTATTTCTGATGTGTGCATTCATCTCACGGAGATGAAACTTTCTTTTGATTGAGCAGTTTTGAAACAAACTTTTGTAGTATCTGAAAGTGGATATTTGGAACGCTTTGAGGCCTATTGTGGAAAAGGAAATATCTTCACATAAAAACAACACAGAAGCATTCTGTGAAACTTCTTTGTGATGTGTGCATTCATCTCACAGAGTTGACCCTATCCTTTGAATGAACAGTTTTGAAACTCTCTTTTCATAGAGTCTGCAAAGGGATATTTGGAACCCTTTGTGGCCTATGGTCTAGAAGGAAGTATATTCCCATAAAAACTACAGAGAAGCATTCAGAGAAACTACTTTGCGTTGTGTGCATTCAACTCACGGATGTGAACCTATCTTTTGATTGATCAGTTTTGAAACACTCTGTTTGTAGTATCTGCACGTTGATATTTGGAGTGCTTTGATGTGTATTGTGGAAAAGGAAATATCTTCACATAAAAACTACACAGAAGAATTCTGAGAAACTTCTTTGTGAAGTGTGCATTCATCTGACAGAGTTGAATCTTTCTTTTGATTGAGGAGTTTTGAAAGACTTTTTTTGTAGAATCTTCAAGTGGATATTTGGAGCGCTTTGAGACCTAAGGTGAGAAAGGAAATGTATTCTCATAAAAACTAAACAGAAGGATTCTGAGAAACTTCTTTGGGTTGTGTGCATTCATCTCACAGAGTTGAATCTTTCTTTTGAATGAATGGTTTTGAAACACTCTTTTTGAAGAATCTGCAAGTCGATATGTGGAGCAATTTGAGGCCTATTGTGGAAAAGGAAATATCTTCACATAAAAACTACACAGAAACATTCTGAGAAACTACTTTGTAATGTGTGCATTCATCTCACAGAGTTGAACCTTTCTTTTGATTGAGCAGTTTTGAAACACTCTTTCCGTAGAATCCGCACGTGGATATTTTCAGCCCTTTGTGGCCTATGGTCGAAAAGGAAATATCTTCCCATAAAAACTACACAGAAGAATTCAGAGAAACTACTTGGTGATGTGAGTATTCATCTCACAGAGTTGAAACTTTCTTTTGACTGAGCAGTTTTGAAACCCTCTGTTTTATAATCAGCAAGTGGGTTTTTGTGGCGATTTAAGGCCTATGGATGAAAAGGAAATAACTTCATATTAAAATGACACAAAAGCATTCTAAGAAACATCTTTTGAATGTGTGAATTCATATCACAGAGTTGAATCTCTGTTTTCACTAAGCAGTTTTGAAACACTCTTTTTGTAGAATCCGCAAGTGGATATCTGGGGCGTTTTGAGGCCTATGGTGGAAAAGGAAATATCTTCACATAAAAACTACACAGAAGCATTCTGAGAAACTACTTGGTGATGTGAGTATTCATCTCACAGAGTTGAAACTTTCTTTTGACTGAGCAGTTTTGAAACCCTCTGTTTTATAATCAGCAAGTGGGTTTTTGTGGCGATTTAAGGCCTATGGATGAAAAGGAAATAACTTCATATTAAAATGACACAAAAGCATTCTAAGAAACATCTTTTGAATGTGTGAATTCATATCACAGAGTTGAATCTCTGTTTTCACTAAGCAGTTTTGAAACACTCTTTTTGTAGAATCCGCAGGTGGATATCTGGGGCGTTTTGAGGCCTATGGTGGAAAAGGAAATATCTTCACATTAAAACTATACAGAAGCATTCTGAGAAACTTCTTTTTGATGTGTGCATTCATCTCACAGAGTGGAAACTTTCTTTTGATTGAGCAGTTTTGAAACTCTCTTTTTGTAGAATCTGCAAACGGATTATTGGAGCCCTTTGCCACCTATGGTGGAAAAGGAAATATCTTCAAAAAAAATTACATAGAAACATTCTGAGAAACTTCTTTGTGATGAGCGCATTCATCTCACAAATTTAAACCTTTCTTTTGATTGAGCAGTTTGGAAACACACTTTTTGTAGAATCTGTAAGTGGATATTTTGACAACTTTGAGGCTTTTGGTGTAAAAGGAAATATCTTCACATTAAAACTACACTGAAGAATTCTGAGAAACTTCTTTGTGATGTGTGCATTCATCTCACAGAGTTGAACCTTTCTTTTGATAGAGCAGTTTTGAAACACTCTTTTTGTAGGATCTGTAAGTGGATATTTGGAGCGCTTGGAGGCCTATGGTGGAAAAGGAAACATTTTCACATAAAAACTACACAGAAGCATTCTCAGGAACTTCTTTGTTTTGTGTGCATTCATTTCACAGAGTTGAAAATGTATTTTGATTGAGCAGTTTTGAATCACTCTTTTTTTAGAATCTGCTAGTGCATATTTGGAGCACTTTGAGGCTTATGGTGGAAAAGGAAATATCACCACATAAAAACTACACAGAAGCATTCTGAGAAACTTCTTTGAGACGTGTTCATTCAACTCGCAGAGTTGAACCTATCTTTTGATAGAGCCATTTTGAAACTCTCTTTTTGTAGAATCTGCAAGGGGTTATTTGGAGCCATTTTTGGCCGATGGTGGAAAAGGAAATATCTTCTCATAAAAAAGGTACACAGAAGCATTCTCAGAAACTTCTTTGTGATGTGTGCATTCATTTCACAGAGTTGAGCCTATGTTTAAATAGAGCAGTTTTGAAACTACCTTTTTGTAGAATATGCAGGTGGATATTTGGAGCCCTTTTTGTCCTATGGTGGAAAAGGAAATATCTTCACATAAAAACTACACAGAAACATTCTGAGCAACTTCTTTGTGATGTGTGCATTCATCTCACAGAGTTGAACCTCTCTTTTGATTGAGCAGTTTGGAAACAATCTATTTGTGGAATCTGCAAGTGGATATTTGGAGGGATTAGAGACCTATTGTAGAAAAGCAAATATCTTCACATAATAACTACACAAAAGCATTCTCAGAAACTTCTTTGTGATGTGTGCATTCATCTCACAGAGTTTAAACTTTCTATTCATTGAGCAGTGTGGAAACACTCTTTTAGTAGAATCTGCAAGTGGATATTTGGAGTCCTTGTGGGCCTATTGTGGAAAAGGAAATATTTTCACATAAAAACTACACAGAAGCATTCTGAAAAACTTCTTTGTGATGTGTGCATTCATCTCACAGAGTGGAATCTTTCTTCTGATTGAGGAGTTTGGAAACACTGTTTTTGTAGAATCTTCAGGTGAATATCTGGAGTGATTTGAGGCCTACTGTGGAAAATGAAATATATTCACATAAAAACTACACAGAACCATTCTGAGAAACTTCTTTGTGCTGTGTGCATTCACCTCACAGGGTTGAAACTATCCTTTGATAGAGCAGCTTTGTAAGACCCTTTTTGTAGACTCTGCAAGAGGATATTTGGAGCCCTTTGCGGCCTATGATGGAAAAGAAAATATCTTCACATAAAAACTACACAGAAGCATTCTGAACAACTTTCGTGATGTGTGCATTCATCTCACAGAGTTGAACCTCTCTTTTGATTAGGCAGTTTGGAAACACTCTATTTATGGAATCTGCAAGTGGATATTTGGAGGGCTTAAAGACCTATTGTGGAAAAGCAAATATCTTCACATAATAACTACACAAAAGCATTCTCAGAAATTCCTTTGTGATGTGTGCATTCATCTCACAGACTTTAAACTTTCTATTCATTGAGCAGTGTGGAAACACTCTTTTAGTAGAATCTGCAAGTGGATATTTGGAGCCCTTGTAGGCCTATTGTGGAAAAGGAAATATTTTCACATAAAAACTACACAGAAGCATTCTGAAAAACTTCTTTGTGATGTGTGCATTCATCTCACAGAGTGGAATCTTTCTTTTGATTGAGGAGTTTGGAAACACTGTTTTTGTAGAACCTGCAGGTGAATATCTGGAGTGATTTGAGGCCTACTGTGGAAAAGGAAATATATTCACATAAAAACTACACAGAAGCATTCTGAGCAACTTCTTTGTGATGTGTGCATTCAACTCATAGAGTTGAACGTATGTTTTCATAGAGCAGTTTTGAAACTCTCTTTTTGTAGAATCTCTAAGTAGATATTTGCAACCCTTTGCAGTCTATGGTGGAAAAGAAATATCTTCACATAAAAACTACACAGAAGCATTCTGAGAAATATCGTGATGTGGGCATTCATCTCACAGATGTGAACCTCTCTTTTGATTGAACAGTTTGGAAACACTCTTTTTGTAGACTGTGCAATTGGATATTTGGAGTTATTTGAGACCTATTGTGGAAAACGAAATATTCACACCCAGAAACTACACGGAAGCATTCTGAGAAACTTCTCTGTGATGAGAGCATTCAGCTTACAGAGTTGAAACTTCCTTTTGATTGAGCAGTTTCCAAACACTCTTTTAGTAGAATCTGCAAGTCGATATTTGGTGCCCTTGGAGGTCTATTGTGGGAAAGGAAATATCACCACATTAAAACAGCACAGCAGCATTCGGAGAAACTTCTTTGTGATGTGTGCATTCATCTCACAGAGTGGCACCTTTCTTTTCATTGAGCAATTTTCAAATTCTCTTTTTGTAGAATCTACAAGTGGATATTTGGAGCGCTTCAAGGCCTATGGTGGAAAGGGAAATATCTTCACATAAAAACTAGACAGAAGCATTCTGAGAAACTTTTTTGTCATGTGTGCATTCATCTTACAGAGTTAAACGCATATTTTGATAGAGCAGTTTTGAAACTCTCCCTTTGTAGAATCTGCAAGTGGATATTTGGAGCCCTTTGTGGCCTATGGTGGAAAAGGAAATATCTTCACATAAAAACTACACAGAAGCATTCTGAGAAACTTCTTTGTGATGAGTGCACTCATCTCTCATAGTTGAAACGATCTTTTGATTAAGCAGTTTTGAAACTCTCTTTTTATAGAATCTGCAATTGGATATCTGGAGCCCTTTGCATCCTATGTTGGAAAAGAAAATATCTTCACATAAAAACTACACTAAGCATTCTGAGAAACTGCTTTGTGATGTGTGCATACATCTCACAGAGTTGAACCTTTTCTTTTTGATTGAGCAGTTTTGAAACACTCTTTTTGTAGAATCTCCAAGTGGATATTTGGAGCACTTTGAGGCCTATGGTGGAAAAGGAAATATCTTCAAATAAAAACTATACAGAAGAATTCTGAGAAACTTCTTTGTGATATGCCCATTCATCTCACTGAGTTGAACATATCTTTTGATAGAGCAGTTTTGAAACTCTTTTTTGTAGAATCTGCAAGAAGATAATTGGAGTCCTTTGTGGCCTATGGTTGAAAAGGAAATTTCTTCACATTAAAACTACACAGAATCATTCTGAGAAACTTCTTTGTGATGTGCGCATTCATCTCACAATGTTGAACCTATATTTTGATAGAGCAGTTTTGAAACTCTCTTTCTTAAGAGTCTGCAAGTGTATATTTGGATCCCTTTGCACCTTATGGTGGAAAAGACAATATCTTCACATTAAAACTACGCAGAAGAATTCTGAGAAACTTCTTTGTGATGTGTGCATTCATCTCACAGAGTTGAACCTCTCTTTTGATTGATTAGTTTGGAAACACTCTTTTTTTAGTATCTGCAAGTGGATATTTGGAGTGCTTTGAGACCTATTTTGGATAAGAAAATATCTTCATATAAAAACTACACAGAAGCATTCTGAGAAACTTCTTTGTGATGTGTGCATTCATCTTACAATGCTGAATATTTCTTTTGATTGAGCAGTTTGGAAACTCTTTTCATAGAATCTGCAAGAGGATATTTGTAACACTTTGAGGCACATGGGGGAAAAGGATGTATCTTCAGATAAAACTACACAGAAGCATTCTGAAAAACTTCTTTGTGATATGTGCATTAAACTCACAGAATTGAACCTATCTTTTGATAGAACAGTTTTGAACCACTCTTTTTTGTAGAATCTGCCAGTAGATATTTGGAGCGCTTTAAGGCCTATGGTGGAAAAGGAAATATCCTCACCTGAAAAGTAAACAGAAGCATTCTCAGGAACTTCTTTGTGATGTGTGCATTCAACTAACAGAGTTGAACGTTTCTTTTGATAGAGTAGTTTTGAAACTCTCTTTTTGTAGAATCTGCAGGTGGTTATTTGGAGCCCTTTTGACCGATGATGGAAAAGGAAATATGTTCCCATAAAAACTACACAGAAACATTCTGAGAAACTTCCTGGTGATGTGTGCATTCAACTCACAGAGTTGAATATTTCATTTCATTGAGGAGTTTTGAAAGACTCTTTTTGTAGAATCTGCAGGTGGATATTTTGAGTGCTTTGAGATGTATTGTGGAAAAGGAAATATCTTCATGAAAAAACTACACAGAAGCCTTCTTAGAAATTTTTTAGTGATGTGTGCATTCATCACACAGAGTTGAACCTTTCTTTGATTGAGCAGTTTTGAGACAATCTTGTAGTACAATCTGTAAGTGGATATTTGGAACGCATTGAAGCCTATCGTTTAAAAGGAAATATCTTCACATAAAAGCTACACAGAAGCATTCTGAGAAACTTCTTTTTGATGTGTGTGTTCATCTCACAGCGTTGAACTTTTCTTTTAATTGAGGAGTTTTGAAACACTCTTCTCATGGATTCTGCAAGTGGATATTTAGAACGCTTTGAAGATTATTGTAGAAAAGGAAATAGCTTCACATAAAAACTACACAGAAGCATTCTGAGAAACTTCTTTGTCATGTGTGCATTCATCTCATAGAGTTGATCCTTTCTTTTCATTGAACAGTTTTGAAACACTCTTTTCGTAGAATCTGAAATTTAATATTTGGAGCGCTTCGAGGCCTATGGTGGAAAAGGAAATATCTTCACATAAAAACTACACAGAAGCATTCAGAGAAACTTCTTTGTGATGTGTGCATTCAACTCCCAGGTTTGAACCTATCTTGTTATAGTGCAGTTTAGAAACTCTCTTTTTGTAGAATCTAGAAGGGGTTATGTGGAGACCTTTTTGGCCGATGGTGGAAAAGGAAATATCTTCTGATAAAAACTACACAGAAGCATTCTGAGAAACTTCTTTTTGATGTGTGCATTCACCTCACAGAGTTGAACCTTTCATTTGATTGAGCAGCTTTGAAACACTCTTTTTGTAGAATCTGCAAGTGGTTATTCGGAGCCCTTTGTGGCTGATGGTGGAAAAGGAAATATCTTCACAGAAAAACTAGACAGAAGCATTCTCAGAAACTTCTTTGTGATGAGTGCATTCAACTCATAAGGTTGAACCTTTCTTTTGATTGAGCAGTTTTGAAACACTGTTTTTGTAGAATCTGCAGGTGGATATTCGGAGCACTTTGAGTTCTTTGGTGGAAAATGAAATATGTTTACATAAAAACTACACAGAAACATTCTGAGAAACTTCTTTGTGATGTGTGCATTCATCTCACAGAGCTGAATCTTCCTTTTGATTGAGCAGTTGTGAACACTCTTTTCGTAGCATCTGCAAGTGGATATTTGCAGCATTTTGAGGCCTATGGTGATAAAATGAAATATCTTCTTTTAAGAACTACACAGAAGCATTCTGAAAAACTTCTTTGTGATGTGTGCATTCACCTCACAGAGATGAATCTTTCTGTTTATTGAGCAGTTTGCAAACACTCTTTTAGTAGACTCTGCAAGTGTGTATTTTCAGCCATGGGAGGTCTATTGTGGAAAAGGAAATCTTTTCACATAAAAACTACACAGAAGCATTCTGAGAAACTTCTTTGTGATATGTGCATTTACCTCAGAGACTGGAAACTTTCTTTTTATTGAGCAGTTTTTAAACACTCTTTTTGAGGAACCTAAGGGTGGATATTTGCAGCGCTTTGAGGACTAAGGTGGAAAATGAATTATCTTCACATAAAAACTACACAGAAGCATTCTGAGAAACTACTTTGTGAAGTGTGCATTCAACTCACAGAGTTGAACCTATCTTTTCATAGAGCAGTTTTGTAACTCTGTCTTTGTAAATTCTGCAAGTGGATATTTGGAGCCTTTTGTGATCTATGCTGTAAAAGGAAATATCTTCACCTAAAAACTAGACAGAAGCAGTCTGAGAAACTTCTTTGTGATGTGTTTATTCATCTCCCAGAGCTGAACCTTTCATTTGATTGAGGAATTTTGAAACACTCTTTTTGTAGGATCTGAAATTTGATATTTGGAGCACTTTAAAGCCTTTTGTGAAAAAGGAAATATCCTCACAAAAAATCTACAGAAGAATTCTCAGAAACTTCTTTGTTTCGTTTGCATTCGTCTGAAAGGGTTGAACCTTTCTTTTGATTGAGCAATTTTGAAACTCTCTTTTTCTGGAATCTGCAGGTCGATATTTGGAGCCCTGTGCAGCCTATGCTTTAAAAGGAAATATCTAAACATAAAAAAAATACACAGACGTCTTCTGAGGAACTTTTTTGTGATGTGAGAATTCATCTCACAGGACTGAACCTTTCTTTGATTGGGCAGTTTGGAAACACTCTTTTTGTGGTATCTGCAAGTGGATATTTGGAGTGCTTTGAGGATTAAGGTGGAAAAGGAAATACTTTCACATAAAAACTACACAGAAGCAATCCGAGAAACTTCCTTTTGAAGTCTGCATTCATCTCACAGAGATGAAACTTTCTTTTGACAGAGCAGTTTGGAAATCCTCTTTTTGTATAATCGGCAAGGGGATATTTGGAACACTTTGAGGCCAATGGTGGACAAGGAAATATCTTCACATAAAAACTACACAGAAGCATTCTGAGAAACTTCTTTGTGATGTGTGCATTCATCTCACAGAGTTGAAACTTTCTTTTCATTGAGTAGTTTTGAAAAACTCTTTTTGTAAAATCTGCAGGTGGATATTTGGAGCGATTTGTGGCCTATTGTGGAAAAGGAAATATCTTCTCATAAAAACTACACAGAAGCATTCTGAGAAACTTCTTTGTGATGAGTGCATTCATCTTGCAGAGTTAAACGTGTCTTTTGGTAGAGCAGTTTTGAAACTCCCTTTTTGTAGAATCTGCAAGTACATATTTGGAGCCTTTTGTGGCCTATGGTGGAAAAGGAAATATCTTCACATGAAAACTACATAGAAACATTCTGAGAATCTTCTCTGTGATGTGTGCATTCATCTCACAGTGTTGAACCTTTCTTTTGATTGACTAGTTTTGAAACACTCTTTCGTGCAATCTGCAGGGTGGATATTTGGAGAGCTTTGAGGCCTATGGTGGAAAAGGAAATGTCTTCACATAAAAGCTACACAGAAGCATTCTGAGAAACTTGTTTGTGGTGTGTACATTCAACTCACAGAGTTGAAGCTATATTTTGATAAAGCAGTGTGAACCACTCTTTTTGTAAAATATGCAAGTGGATATTTGGAGCGCTTTGAGGAATAGGAAGGAAAAGGAAATATCTTCACAAAAAATACACAGAGGCATTCTGAGAGAGTTTTTTTTTTTTTTTTTTTTTTTGATGTGTGCATTCATCTCACTGAGTTTAACATTTCATTTGATTGAGCAGTTTGGAAACACTCTTTTAGTAGAATCTGCAAGTTGATATTTGGAGCGCTTTGAGGCCTATTGTAGAAATGGAAATATCTTCACATAAAAACTACACAGAAGCACTCTCAGAAACTTCTTTGCTTTGTGTGTATTCATATCACAGATTTGAACCTTTCTTTTCACTGAGCAATTTGGAAACACTCTTTTAGTAGAATCTGCAAGTGGATATTTGGAGCCCAAGGAACAATTTTGTGGAAAATGAAATGTCTTCACATACAAATTACACAGAAGCATCCTGAGAAACTTCTTTGTGATGTGCACATTCATGTCACAGAGTTGAACATTTCTTTTGATTGAAGAGTTTTGAAACGCACTTTTTGTAGAATCTGCAAATGGATAATTGGAGCACTTTGAGGCCTATGGTTGAAAACGAAATATCTTCAAATAAAAACTACACAGAAGCATTCTGAGAAACTTCTTTGTGATGTGTGCATTCATCTCACAGAGTTGAAACTATCCTTTGATAGAAGAGATTTCAAACTGTCTTTATGTAGAATCTACAAGTGGATATTTGGAACACTTTGTAGCCTACGGTGGAAAAGTATATATCTTCACATAATAACTACACAGAAGCATTCGGAGAAACTTCTTTGTGATGTGTGCATTCAACTCACAGAGTTGAACCTATCTATTGATAGAGCAGTTTTGAAACTCTCTTTTTGTAGAATCTGCAAGTGGACATTTGGATCGCTTTGAGGTCTATTGTGGAAAAGGAAATATCTTCACTTAAAAACTGCACAGAAGCATTCTCAGAATCTCCTTTGTTTAGTGTTCATTCATCTCAAAGAGTTGAACTTTTCTTTTGATTGAGCAATTTTGAAACACTCTTTTGGAAGAATCTGCAAGTGGATATTTGGAGCCGTTTGACGCCTATGGCAGAAAAGGAGATATCTTAACATAAAAACTACACAGAGGCATTCTGAGAAGCTTCTTTCTGATTGTGTACATTCAACTAGCAGAGCTGAACCTATCTTTTCATAGAGCAGTTTGGAACCTCACTTTTTGTAGAGTCTGCAAGTGGTTATTTGGAGCCCTTTGTTGCCAAAGGTGGAAAAGGAAATCTCTTCACATAAAAACTACACAGAAAAACTCCCCGAAACTTCTTTGTGATGTGTGCATTCATCTCACAGTGTTAAAACTCTTTTGATTGAGCAGTTTGGAACACTCTATTTTAGTAGAATCTGCAAGTGGATATTTGGAGCCCTTGGAGGCCTAATGTGGAAAAGGAAATATCTTCACATAAAAACTACACAGAATCATTCTGAGAAACATCTTTGTGGTGTGTGCATTCATCTCACAGAGTTGAAACTCTCTTTTGATTGAGTAGTTTGGCAACACTCTTTTTGTAGAACCTCCAAGTGGATATTTGGAGCGATTTGTGGTCTATTGTCTAAAAGGAAATATCTTCACATAAAAACTACACAGAAGCATTCTGAGAATCTTCTTTGTGATGTGTGCATTCATCTCACTGAAGTTAACCTATCTTTTGATAGACCAGTTTTGAAACTCTTTTTGTAGAATCTGCATGTGATTATTTGGAGCCCTTTATGGCCTATGGTGGAAAAGTAAATATCTTTACATAAAAACTACACATAAGCATTCTGAGAAACTACATTGTGATGTGTGCATTCATCTCACAGAGTTGAACATTTAATTTTATGAGCAGTTTTGTAACACTCTTTTTGTAGAATCTGCAAGTGGATATTCAGAGCGCTTTGAGCCCTACTGTAGAAAAGGAAATAACTTCACATAAAAACTACACAGAAGCATTTTCAGAAACTAGTTTGTGATGTGCAAATTCATCTCACAGAGTTGAACCTATCTTTTGATAGAAAAGTTTTGAAACTCTCTTTTTCTAGTATCTGCAAGTGGTTATTGGGAGCCCTTTGCAGCCTATGGTGAAAAAGGAAATATTTTCACCTAAAAACTACACAGATGCATTCTGAGAAACTTCTTTGTGATGTGTGCATTCATCTCACAGAGTTGAGATTCTCTTTTGATTGAGTCATTTGGATACACTCTTTTTGTAGTATCTGCAAGTGGATATTTGGAGCAGTTTGAGTCCTATTGTGGAAAAGGAAATATCTTCACCTAAAAACTACACAGAAGCATTCTGAGAAACTTCTTTGTGATGTGTGCATTCATCTGACAGAGTTGAAACTTTCTTTTGATTGAGCAGTTTTGAAACACTCTTTTTGTAGAAACTGCAAGTGCATATTTAGAGCGCTTTGAGGCCTATAGTGGAAAAGGAAATATCTTCACATAAAAACTACACAGAAGCATTCTGCAGAACTATTCTGTGATGTGTGCATTGAACTCGCAGAGTTGACCCTATGTTTTGATAGTGCATTTTTGAAACTCTCTTTTTATAGAATCTGCAAGTGTTTATTTGGAACCCTTTGTGGCCAATGGTGGAAAAGGAAATATCTTCCCATTAAAGTTACAATGAAGCATTCTGGGAAACTTCTTTGTGATGAGTGCCTTCACCTCACAGAGTTGAAACTTTCATTTGATTGAGCAGTTTTGAAAAACTCTTTTTGTAGAATCTGCAGGTGGATATTTGGAACGCTTTGAGGCCTATTGTGGAAAAGGATTGTCTTCATATAAAAACTACACAGAAGCATTCTAATAAACTATTTTGTTTTGTTTGCATTCATCTCACAGAGTTGAACCCTTCTTTTGATTGAGCAGTTTTGAAACACACTTTTTGTGGAATCTGGAAGTGGTTATTTGGAGCCCTTTGTGGCCTATTGTAGAAAAGGAAATATCTTCACATAAAATCTACACAGAAGTATTCTGAGAAGCTTCTTTGTGATGTGTTCGTTCATCTCACAGAGTTGAACCTTTATTTTGATTGAGCAGTTTTGAAACACTATTTTCATAGAATCTGCAAGGGAGTATTTGGTGTGCTTTGAGGCCTGTGGTGGAAAAAGAAATATTTTCACATAGAAACTACATAGACTCAGTCTGAGAAACTATTTTGTGATATGTGCATTCATCTCAAAGAGCTGAACATTTCTTTTGATTGATCAGTTTGGAAACACTCTTTTAGGTAAATCTTCAAGTGGATATTTGGAGCCCTTGGAGGCCTATTGTGGAAAAGGAAATATCTTCACATAAAAATTACACAGAAGCATTCCGAGAAACTTCTTAGTGATGTGTGCATAAATCTCACAGAATTGACCCATTCTTTCAATTGAGCAGTTTCGAAACAATCTTTTTGTAGAATCTGCAAGCAGAAATTTGGAGCGCTTTGAGACCTATAGTGGAAAACGTACTATCTTCACATAAAAACTACACAGAAACATTCTGAGAACCTTCTTTCTGATGTGTGCATTCATCCCACAGAGGTGAATCTATCTTTTGATAGAGCAGTTTTGAAACTCTCTTTTTGTAGAATCTGCATGTGGATATTTGGAGCCCTTTACGGCCTATGGTGGGAATGTAAATATCTTCACATAAAAAATACACAGAAGCATTCTGGAAAGTTCTTTGTCATCTGTTCATTCATCTCACAGAGTTGAAACTATCTTTTGATAGAGCAGTTTTGAAATTCTCTTTCCGTAGAATCTGCTAGTAGATATTTTGAGGCCTTTATGACCGATGGTGGAAAAAGTTATATCTTCCCATAAAAACTACAGAGAAGCATTCTGAGAAACTTCTTTGTGATGAGTGCATTCATTTCACAGAGTTGAACATTTCATTTGATTGAGCAGTTTTGAAACACATTTTCGTAGAATCTGCAAGTTGATATTTGGAGGGCTTTGAGGCGTATTGTGGAAAATGAAATATCTTCACATAAAAACTACACAGTAGCATTCTCAGAAACTTCTTTGTGATGTGTGCATTCATCTCACAGAGTTGAAACTTCCTT
This sequence comes from Homo sapiens, assembly GCF_000001405.40. NCBI lineage: Eukaryota > Metazoa > Chordata > Mammalia > Primates > Hominidae > Homo > Homo sapiens. Next base: position 37,730,031 of record NC_000012.12, read on the forward strand.
TTGAATGAGCAGTTTTGGAGCACTCTTTTTGTAGTATCTCCAAGTGGATATCTGGAGATATTTGAGGCCTGAAGAGGAAAAGGAAATATCTTCACATAAAAACTACACAGAAGCATTCTGAGAAACTTCTTTGTGATGTGTGCATTCATCCCACAGAGATGAACCTGTCTTTTCATAGAGCAGTTTGAAACTCTCTTTTTGTAGAATCTGCAAGTGGATATTTGGAGCACTTTGCAGCCTATTGTGGAAAAGGAAACATCTTCACATAAAAACAACACAGAGCATTCTGAGACACTTCTTTGTGATGCGTGCATTCAACTCGCAGAGTTGAACATATCTTTTCATAGAGCAGTTTTGAAACTCTCTTTTTGTAGAATCTGCAAGTGGATATTTGGAGCCCTTTGCAGGCTTTTAGTGGAAAAGGAAACATCTTCATATAAAAACTACACAGAAGCATTCTGAGAAACTTCATCATGATGTGTGTATTCAACTCACAGAGTTGAACATATCTTTTGATAGAGCAATTTTGACACTCTTTTTGTAGAATCTACAAGTAGATATTTGGAGCAGTTTGAAGCCTGTGGTGGAAAAGGAAATATCTTCAAATAAAAACTACACGGAAGCATTCTGAGAAACTTCTTTGTGATGTGTGCATTCAACTCACAGAGTTGAACCTTTCTTTTGATTGAGCAGTTTGGAAACACTCTTTTTCTGAATCTGCAAGAGGATATTTGGAGCACATTGAGACCTATGGTGGAAAAGGAAATATCTTCACATAAAAACTACACAGAAGCATTCTGAGAAACTTCTTTGTGATGTGTGCATTCATCTCACAGAGTTGAACCTATCTTTTGATGGAGCAGTAGTGAAACTCTCTTTTTGTAGAATCTGCAAGTGGATATTTGGAGCGATTTGAGGCCTAACGAGGAAAAGGACATATTTTCACATAAAAACTACTCAGAAGCATTCTGAGAAACTTCTTTGCAATGTTTGCATTCATCCCACAGAGTTGAAATTTTGTTTTGACTGAGCAGCTTTGATACACACTTTTCATATAATCTGCAAGTGGATATTTGGAGCACTTTGAGGCCATTGGTGGAAAAGGTAATATCTCCACATAAAAACTACACAGAAGCATTTTGAGAAACTTCTTTGTGATATGTGTATTCAACTGGCAGAGTTGAACCTGGCTTTTGATAGAGCAGTTTTGAAACTCACTTTTTGTAGAATCTGCAAGTGGTTATTTGGAGCCCTTTGTGGCCTATGTTGGAAAAGAAAATATTTTCCCATGAAAACTACACAGAAGCATTCAGTGAAAGTTCTCTGTGATGTGTGAATTCGTCTCACAGACTTAAATATTTCATTTGATGGACCAGGTTTGAAACACTTTTTGTAGATTCTGCAAGGGGATATTTGGGGCGCTTTGAGGCCTATTGTGGAAAAGGAAATATCTTCACTTAAAAACTACACAGAAGCATTCTCACAAACTTCTTTGTGATGTGTGCATTCATCTCACAGAGTTGAATATTTCATTTGATTGAGCAGTTTTGAAACACTCTTTTTGTAGAATCTGCAAGTGGGTATTTGGAGAGCTTTGAGGCCTGTTGCAGAAAAGGAAATCTCTTCACATAAAAACCACACAGAAGCACTCTCAGAAACTTCTTTGTGATGTGTGCCTTCAACTCACAGACCTGAACCTATCTTTGGTAGAGGAGTTTTGAAACTCTCTTTTTGTAGAATCTGCAAGTCGTTATTTGTAGCCATTTGTGGCCGATGGTGGAAAAAGAAATATCTTCCCATAAAAACTACCCAGAAGCTTTCTGAGAAACTACTTTGTGATGTGTGCATTCGTGTCACAGAGTTGAAACTTTCATTTCATTGAGCATTTTTGAAACACTCTTTTTATAGAATCTGCATGTGGATATTTGGAGTGCTTTGTGGCCTATTGTGGAAAAGGAAATATCTTCACATAAAAACTACACAGAAGCATTCTCAGAAACTTCTTTGTTTTGTGTGCATTCATCTCACAGAATTGAACCTTTCTTCTGATTGAGCAGTTTTGAAATACTCTTTTCATAGAATCTGCAAGTGGATATTTGGAGTGCTTTGGGGTCTATCATGGTAAAGGAAATATCTTTAATTAAAAACTACACAGAAGCATTCTGAGAAACTTCTTTGTGATGTTTGCATTCAACACGCAGAGTTGAACGTATCTTTTGATTGCACAGTTTTGAAACCCTCTTTTTGTAGAAACTGCAATTGGTTATTTAGAGCCCTTTGTGTCAGATGGTGGAAAAGGAGATATCTTCCCATGAAAACTACACAGAAGCATTCAGAGAAAGTTCTTTGTGATGTGTGAATTCATCTCACAGAGTTAATTTTTTCCTTTGATTGAGCTGTTTCCAAACAGTCTTTTTGTAGGATCTGTAAGGGGGTATTTGGGGCACTTTGAGGCCTATTGTGGAAAAGGAAATATCTTCACATAAGAACTACACAGAAGCATTCTCACAAACGTCTTTGTGATGTGTGCATTCAACTCACAGAGTTCCACCTTTCTTTTGATTGAGCAGTTTTGTCTCAGTCTTTTCGTGGAATCTACAATTGGATATTTGAAGCGCTTTGAGGCCTTTGGTGGGAAAGGAAATATCTTCACATACAAATTACATGGAAGCATTCTGAGAAACTTCTTTGTGATGTGTGTATTCATCTCAGGAGTTGAACCTATGTTTCGTCGAGCAGTTTTGAAACTCTCTTTTTGTAGAATCTGGAAGTGGATATTCAGAGTCTTTTGTGGCCTATAGTGGAAAAGGATATGTCTTTACTTAAAAAATACCCAGAAGCATTCTTAGAAACTTCTTTGTGATGTGTGCATTCAAATCACAGAGTTGAAACTATCTTTTGATAGATCAGTTTTGAAACTCTCTTTTGTAGAATCTGCAAGTGGATATTTGGAATCCTTAGCGGCCTATGGTGGAAAAGGAAATATCTTCATATTAAAACTATACAGAAGCATTCTCAGAAATTTCTTTGTAATGTGAGCATTCATATCACAGAGTTGAACCTTTCTTTTGATTGAACAGTTTCGAAACACTCTTTTTGTTGTATCTGCAAATGGATATTTGGAACGCTTTAACGCTGAAGCTGAAAAGGAAATATCTTCACATAAAAACTACACAGAAGCATTCTGAGAAATTTCTTTGTGATGTGTGCATTCATCTCACAGAGTTGAAGTTTTCTTTTGATTGAGCAGTTTTGAAACACTCTTTTTGTAGAATCTGCAAGTGGATATTTGTAGCGCTTTGAGGCCTATGGTGGAAAAAGAAATATGTTCACATAAAAACTAGACAGAAGCATTCTCAGAAAATTCTTTGTGATGTGTGCACTCAACTCACAGAGTTGAACTTTCTTTTGATTGAGTAGTTTGGAAACAATCTTTTTGTAGTATCTGCAAATGGGTTTTTAGATCGCTTTGGGGCCTATGGTGAAAAAGGAAACACCTTCACATAAAAACTAGACAGAAGCATTCTGAGAAACTTCTTAGTGATGTGTGCATTCATCCCTCAGAGTTCAACTTTTCTTTTGATTGAGCAATTTGGAAACAGTCTTTTTGTGTAATCTGCACAGAAATATTTGTGAGTCCATTGAGGCCTATGTTGAAATGGGAAATATCTTCACATAAAAACTAGACAGAAGCATTCTGAGAAACTTCTTTGTGATGTGTCCATTCATCTCACAGAGTTGAAACTGTCTTTTGATTGAGCAGTTTGGAAACACTCGTTGTGTAGAATCTGCACAGTGATACTTGTGAGCAGTCTGAGGTCTATGGTGAAATAGGAAATGTCTCCACATAAAAACTAGGCCAAAGCACAGTGAGAAATTTTTGTGATATGTGCTTTCTTCTCACTGAGTTGAACATTTGTTTTGATTGAGCAGTTTAGAAAAAGTATTTCTGTGGAAAGGGCAAATGGATATTTTGAGCTCTTTCAGGCCTAGTAAAAGGAAATATCTTCACATAAAAACTAGACAGGAGCATTCTGAGAAACTTCTTTGTGGTTTGTGCATTCATCTGGAAGAGTTGAATGTTTCTTTTGATGGAGCAGTTTGGAAACAGTCTTTTTGTGGTAACTGCAGAGGGATATTTCTGAGCTGTTTAAGTCCTATGGTGAAAACGGAAATATCTTCACATAAAAACTAGACAGAAACATTCTGAGAAACGTCTTTGTGATATTGGCATTCATCTCGTAGAATTGAACCTTTCTTTAGATTGAGCAGCTTGGAAACAGACTTTTTGTATGATCTGCAACTGGAGATTTGTAGCGCTTTGAGGCCTTCCGTGAAAAATGAAATATCTTCACATAAAAACTAGACAGAAACTTTCTGAGAAACTTCCTTGTGATGTGTGCTTTCATCTCACAGAGTTGGACTTTTCTTTTGATTCACTAGTTTGGAAACATTCTTTTTGTAGTATCTGCAGAGGGATATTTGTTAACAGTTTAAGGACCATGGTGAAAAAGGAAATATCATCACAAACAAACAAGACTGAAGCATTCAGAGAAACTTCTTTGTTACATGTGCATTCATCGCACAGAGTTGAACCTTTCTTTTGATTGAGCAGTTTGGAAACAGTCTTTTTGTAGAATCTGCGAAGGGATATTTGTAAGACCTTGACTGTCTATGGTGAAACAGAGAATATCTTCACACAAAAACTAAACAGAAACTTTCTGAGAAACTTCTTTGTGATGTATGCTCTCCTCTCACAGAGTTGAACATTTCTTTTTATTGAGCAGTTTGTAAAGAGTCTTTCCGTAGAATCTGCAAAGGGATATTTGGAGCTCTTGGAGGCCTATGGTGAAAAAGGTAATATCTTCATATGAAAACTAGACAGAAGCATTCTGTGAAATTTCCTTCTGTTGCCAGCATTCACCTCACAGGGTTGAAACTTTCTTTTGATTGAGCAGTTTGGAAACTGTCTTTTTGTAGAATCTGCAAATGGATATTTGCACTGCTTTGTCAGTTATTGTGAAAAAGGCAATATCTTCAGATAAAAACTAGACAGAAGAATTCTCAGAAACTTCTTTGTGATGCCTGCATTCATCTCACAGAGTTGAACTTTCTTTTGATTGAGCAGTCTGGAAACACTCTTTTTGTACATTCTGCAAAGGGATATTTCTGAGCCGTTTGAGGCCTATGATGAAAAATAAATATCTTCATATAAAACTAGACAAAAGCATTCTGAGAAACTTCTTTGTGATGTGTGATGTGTCCCTTCGTCTCACAGAGTTGAACCTTTCTTTTCATTGAGCTCTATGTGAACAGTCTTTTCAAAGAAACTGTAGAGGGATATCTGTGAGCCCTTGATGTCGTATGGTGAAAAAGGAAATATCTTCACATATAAACTAGACAGATGAATTCTGCGCAACTACTTTGTGATAAGTCCATTCATCTCACAGTGTTGAACCTTTCTTTTGATTGAGCAGTTTGGAAAGAGTCCTTTTGAAGAATCTGCAGACGGACATTTGTGAGTCCTCGAAGGCCTATGGTGAAGTAGGAGATATCTCCACATAAAAGCTAGACAGAAGCATTCTGAGAAACTTCTTTGTGACACCTGCATTCATCTCACAGAGTTGAACCTTTCTATTGATTGAGCAGTTTGGAAACAATCTTTTTGTAGAATCAGCAAAGGTATATTTCCGAGCTGTTTAAGGCCAATGGTGAAAATGAATAATCTTCACATAAAAACTAGTCAGAAGCATTCTGAGAAACGTTTTGTGATTTGTCCATTCATCTCACAGAGTTGAATCTTTCTTTTGATTGAGCTGTTTGGACACAATATTTTCTTAGAATCTGCAGAGGGATATTTGTGAGCCCTTTATGGCCCATAGTGAAACAGGAAATATCTTCACATAAAAACTAGACAGAAGCTTTCTGAGAAACATCTTTGTGACGTGTGCTTTCATCTCACTGAGTTGAACCTTTCTTTTGTTTGAGTAGTTTGGAAACAGGCCTTTTGTAGTGTCTGCAAATGGATATTTGGAGCGCTTTGAGGCCTAGGGTGAAAAAGGAAATATCTTCACATGAAAACTAGACTGAAGAATTCTGAGAAACTTCTTTGTGATGTGTGCATTCATCTCACAGAGTTGAACCTTTCTGTTCATGGAGCAGTTTGAAAATAGTATTTTGTAGTATCTGCAGAGAGATATTTGTGAGCCATTTAAGGCCTTTGGTGAAAAAGGAAATGTCTTCACATAAAAAGTCGACAGAAGCATTTTGAGAAACTTCTTTGTGATGTGTTCATTCATCTCACAGTGTTAAAAATTTCCTTTGATTGAGCAGTTTGCAAGCACTCTTTCTGTAGAATCTGCAAATGGATATTTAGAGAACTTCGAGGCCTACGTTAGTTAGGAAATGAAATATCTTCATATAAAAACTAAACAGAAGCTTTCTGAGAAACTTTTTGTGATATGTGCATTCACCTCACAGAGTTGAAACTTTCCTTTTATTGAGCAGTTTGGGAACTGTCTTTTTGTAGAATCTGCAAATGGATATTCGGAGCACTTTGGGGCCTATGTTGAAAAAGGAAATATCTTCACTTAAAAACTAGACAGAAGCATTCTGAGAAACTTCTTTGTGATGTGTGCATTCATCTCACAGATTTGAACATTTCTTTTGACTGAACAGTTGGGAAACAGTCCTTTTGTAGAATATTGAATGGGATATATTTGAGCCCTTTTAGGCCTATGGTGAAATAGGAAATATCTTCACATAAAAGCTAGACAGAAGGTTTCTAAGAAACATTTTTGTGTTGTGTGCTTTCATCTCACAGAGTTGAAGCTTTCCTTTGATGGAGTAGTTTGGAGACCGTATTTTCATAGTATCTGCAGAGGGATACTTCTGAGCCCTTTATGCCCTATGGTGAAATAGGATATATCTTCACTTAAAAACTAGACAGAAGCTTTCTGAGAAACTTCTTTGGGTTTCCTGTTTTCATCTCACAGAGTTCAAACTTTCTTTTGATTGAGCAGTTTGGAAAGAGTCTTTTTGTAGAATCTGATAATGGACACTTGGAGCGCTTTGAGGCCTATGGTGAAAAAGGAAATATCTCCACATAAAAACTAGAAAGAAATATTCTGAGAAACTTCATTCAATGCGTGGATTCATCTCACAGAGTTGAACACTTCTTTTGATTGAACAGTTTGGAAACGGTCCTTTTGTAGATTGTGCATAGGGATATTTTTGAGCCTATTGAGGCCTTCGGTGAAAAAGGAAATATCTTCACATAAAAACCAGACAGAATCTTTCTGAGAAACTTCCTTGTGATGTGTGCATTCATTTCACAGAGCTGAAACTTTCTTTTGATTGAGCAGTTTGGAAACAGTCTTTTTGTAGAATCTGCAATGGATATTTGGAATGCTTTGGTGCCTATGGTAAGAAAGAAAATATCTTCACATAAAAACTAGACAGAATCATTCTGAGAATCTCCTTTGTGATGTGTGCATTCATCTCAGGGAGTTGAAACTTTCTTTTGATGGAGCAGTTTGGAAACAGTCCTTTTGTAGTGTCTGCAGAGGGAGATTTGTGACCAGTTTAAGGACTATGGTGAAAAAGGAAATATCTTCACATAAAAACTAGACAGAAGCATTCTGAGAAACTTCTTTGTGATGTGTGCATTCATCTCACCGAGTTGAACCTTTCTTTTGATTGAATAGTTTGGAAAGAGTCCTTTTGTAGAATCGGCAAAGGGATATTTGTGAGCCCTTTGAGACCCACTGTGAAATATGAAATATCTTCACAGAAAAACTAGACAGAAGCTTTCTGAGAAATTGCTTTGTGATTGGTTCATTCATCTCACAGAGTTCAACCTTTCTTTTGATTGAGCAGTTTGGAAACAGTCTTTTTGTATAATCTGCAAAAGGATATTTGGAGTGCTTTGAGAACTATGGTGTTAAAGTAAATATCTTCACATAAAAACAAGAATGAATCTTTCTGGGAAACTTCTTTGTGATGTGTGTTTTCACCTTACAGAGTGGAACCTTTGTTTTCATTGAGCAGTTTAGAAATGAAGAGATGAGTTACCCTTTCATACCTGTGGGTTTTTCTCATTGGGTAGAATGAGAGACTTGGAAAAGAAAAAGACACAGAGACAAAGTATAGAGAAAGAATTAAGGGGGCCCAGGGGAATAGCATTCAGCATATGGAGGATCCCGCTGGCCTCTGAGTTCCCTTAGTATTTATTGACCATTCTTGGGTGTTTCTCAGAGAGAGCGATGTGGCAGGTTCTTAGGATAATAATGGAGAGAAGGTCAGCAGATAAACACGTGAACAAAGGTCTCTCCATCATAGACAATGTAAAGATTTAATTTCTGTGCTTTAGATATGCATATACCTAAACATCTCAGGGCCTTACAGATCTGTATTGCTGCCCACGTGTCCCACCTCAAGCCCTAAGGTGGTTTTCCCCTATCTCTGTAGATGGAACATACAATTGGGTTTTATACCGAGAGATTCCATTGCCCAAGGAAGGTCAGGAGACAGATGCCTTCCTCTTGTCTCAACTGCAAAGAGGCATTCCTTCCTCTTATAGTAATCCTCCTCAGCACAGACCCAGTAGGGGTGTTGGGCTGGGGGATGGTCAGGTCTTTCCCTTCCTACGAGGCCATATTTCAGACTGTCACATGGGGATAAACCTTGGACAATACCTGGCTTTCTTAAGCAAAGGTCCCTGTGGCCTTCCAGTGTTTGTGTCCCTGGATAGTTGAGATTAGGGAGTGGTGATGACTCTTAAAGAGGATGCTGCCTTCAAGCATCTGTTAAACAAAGCACATCTTGTAGAGCCCTTGATCAATTTAACCCTGAGTTGCCACAGCACTCATTTCAGGGAGCACATGGTTTTCGGGGTAAGGTTACAGATTAACAGCATCTCGAGGCAGAATAATCTTTCTTAGTACAGAACAAAATGTAGTCTCCTATGTCTACTTATTTCTACAGAGACACAGTAACAATCTGATCTATCTTTCATTTCCCAACAGGAAACAGACATTTGTAGAATCTGCAGAGGGATATTCCTGAGTGGTTTGAGTCCTGTTATGAAAAAGAAATATCTTCACATAAAAACTAGACAGAAGCATTCTGAGAAACTTCTTTGTGATGCGTGCATTCATTTCACAGAGTTGAACCTTTCTTTTCATTGAGGAGTTTGGAAACCGTCGTTTTGTAGAAGCTGCAAAGGGATATTGGTGAGCCCATTGAGGTCTATGGTGAAATAGGAAATAACTTCACATGAAAACTAGACAGAAGCTTTCTGAGAAACATCTTTGTGATGTGTGCATTCATCTTACAGATTTGAACCTTTCTTTTGATGGAGCAGTTTGTAAACAGTGTTTTTGTAGAATCTGCAAAGGGATATATGTAATGATTTGAGGCCTATTGTTAAAAAGAAATATGTTCACAAAAAAACTAGACAGAAACTTTCTGAGAAACTTCTTTTTGATGTTTGCATTCATCTGACAGAGTTGAACCTTCCTTTCTTTTGATTGAGCAGTTTGGAAACAGTCTTTCTGTAGAATATGCACAGGGATATCTGTGAGCAGTTTGTAGCCTATGGTGAAAAAGGAAATATCTTCACATAAAAACTAGACAGAAGCATTCTGAGAAACATATTTGTGATGTGTGCATTCATTTCACAGAGTTTAGCCTTTCTTTTGATTGAGCAGTTTGGAAACAGTCTTTTTCTAGTATCTGCAAAGGGATATTAGTGAGCGGTTTGAGGCCTATGGTGAAATAGGAAATATCTCCACATTAAAACTAGACAGAAACTTTTTTAAAAACTTCTTTGGGAAGTTTGCATTCATCTCACAGAGTTGACCATTTCTTTTCATTGAGCAGTTTGGAAACAGTCTTTTTGTACAATCTGCAAAGGGATATTTCTGAGCGGTTTAAGGCCTATGGTGAATACGGAAATATCTTCACTTAAAAACTAGGCAGAAGCATTCTAATAAACTTCTTTGTGTAATGTGCATATCTCATAGAGATGAATAAGTCTTTTGATTGAGCAGTTTAGAAACAGACTTTTGGTAGAATCTGCAAAGGGATACTTGTGAGCCCTTTGAGGCCTAGGGTGAAATAGGAAATATCTTCACATAAAAACTAGACAGAAGATTACTGAGAAACTTCTTTGTGATATGTGTTTTCTCCTAACGGAGTTGAACCACTCTTTTGATTGAGCAGTTTGGAAAAAGTCTTTTTGTAGAAACTGCAAATGAATATTTGGAGCTTTTTGAGGCCTATGGTGAAAAAGAAAATATCTTCACATAAAAACTAGACAGAAGCATTCTGAGAAACTTCTTTGTGATGTGTGCATTCATCTCACAAAGTTGAAATTTTTTTTAATTGAGCAGTTCGGAAACAGTCTTTTTGTTTAATCTTCCCTAGGATATTTGTGAGCCCATTAAGACCTATGGTGAAAAAGGAAATATCTTCCCAGAAAAACTAGATAAAAGCTTTCTGAGAAACTTCTTTCTGATGTGTGCATTCATATCACAGAGTTGCACCTTTCTTTTGATTGAGCAATTTGGAAACAGTCTTTTTGTAGAATCTGCAAATAGATATTTGAGTGCTTTGAGGCCTATGGTGAAAAAGGAAATATCTTCACATAAAAACTAGACATAAGCTTTCTGAGGAACTTCTTTGTGATGTGCGCTTTCATCTCACAGAGTTGAACCTGTCTTTTGATTGAGAGGTTTGGAAACAGTCTTTTTGTAGAATCTGCAAAGGGTTATTTGTGAGCCCTTTGAGGGTTATGGTGAAAAAGGAAATATCTTCACATAAAAACTAGACAGAAGCTTTCTTAGAAACTTCTTTGTGATGAATGCTATCATTTCACAGAGTTGAAACTTTCTTTTGATGGAGCAGTTTGTAAACAGTCTTTTTGTATAATCTGCAAATGGATATATGGAGCCATTTGTGCCCTATGGTGAAATAGAAAATATCTTCAAATAAAAACTAGACAGAAAGTTTCTGAGAAACTTATTTTTGATGTATGCATTCATCTGACAGAGTGGAACCTTACTTTTGATTGAACAGTTTGGAAACAGTCTTTTTGTAGAATCTGCACAGAGAAACTCGTGAGTGTTTTGTGGCCTATGTTGAAAAAGGAAATATCTTCACATAAAAACTAAATAGAAGCATTTCGAGAATCTTCTTTGTTATGTGTGCATTCATCTCACAGAGATGAACCTTTCTTTTGATTGAGCAGTTTTGAAACAATCTTTTTCTAGAATCTGCACACGGATATTTGTGAGTGGTTTGAGGCCTATGGTGAAATAGGAAATATCTCCACGTAAAAACGAGACAGAAATTATGTAAAACTTCTTTGGGAAGTTTGCATTCATCTCACAGTGTTGACTATTTCTTTTCATTGATCAGTTTGGAAACAGTCTTTTTGTACAATCTGCAAAGGGATATTTCTGAGTGGTTTAAGAACTATGGTGAAAAAAGAAATATCTTCACTTAAAAACTAGGCAGAAGCATTCTGAGAAACTTCTTTGTGATATGTGCATTCATCTCATAGAGATGAATATGTCTTTTGATTGAGCAGTTTAGAAACAGATGTTTTGTAGAATCTGCAAAGAGATATTTGTGAGCCCTTTGAGGCCTACGGTGAAATAGGAAGTATCTTCACATAAAAACTAGATGGAAGCTTTTGAGAAAATTATTTGTAATATGTGCTTTCTTCTCACAGAGTTGAACCATTCTTTTGATTGAGCAGTTTGGAAAAAGTCTTTTTGTAGAAATTGCAAGTGGATATTTGGAGAGCTTTGAGGCCTATGGTGAAAAAGGAAATATCTTCACATAAAAACTAGACAGAAGCATTCTGAGAAACTTCTTTGTGATGTATGCATTCACCTCACAGAGTTGAAATTTTTTGTGATTGAGCAGTTTGGAAACAGTCTTTTTGTATAATCTTCCCTGGGATATTTGTGAGCCCATTAAGGCCTATGGTGGAAAAGGAAATATCTTCACATAAAAACTAGACAGAAGCTTTCTGAGAAATTTCTTTCTGATGTGTGCATTCATATGACAGAGTTGCACCTTTCTTTTGATTGAGCAGTTTGGAAACAGTCTTTTTGTAGAATCTGCCAATGAATATTTGGAGTGCTTTGAGGCCTGTGGTGAAAAAGGAAATATCTTCACATAAAAACTAGACATAAGCTTTCTGAGGAAGTTCTTTGTGATGTGTGATTTCATCTCACAGAGTTGAACCTTTGTTTTGATTGAGCCATTTGGAAACAGTCTTTTGGTAAAATCTGCAAAGGGTTTTTTGTGAGTCCTTTGAGGGTTATTTTAAAAAAGGAAATATCTTCACATAAAAACTAGATGGCATTTTTCATAGAAACTTCTTTGCAATGTGTGTTTTCATCTCACAGAGTTGAAGCTTTCTTTTGATTGAGCAGGTTGTAAGCGGTCCTTTTGTACAATCTGCAAATGGATATATGGAGCCATTTGTGCCCTATGGTGAAATAGGAAATATCTTCGCATAAAAACTAGACGGAAACTTTCTGAGAAACTTCTTTGTGACATGTACATTCATCTCATAGAGTTGACCCATTCTTTTGATTGCTCAGTTTCAAAAAGGTATTTTTGTAAAATCTGCAAAGGGACATTTATGAGCAGATTGAAGCCTAATGTGAAATAGGAATTACATTCACATAAAAAGTAGAGAGAAGCATTCCAAGAAACATTTTGTGATGTGTGCTCTCATCTAACATAGTTGCACATTTCCTTTGATTGACCAGATTGGAAACAGTCTTTCCATAGTATCTGCAAATGGATATTTGGAGTGCTCTGAGGCCTATGGTGAAAAGGGAATATCTTCATATAAAAACTAGACAGAAGATTTCTGAGAAACAGCTTTGTGACGTGTGCATTTATCTCACAGAGATGAAATTTTCTTTTGATTGAGTAGTTTGTAAACAGTCTTTTTGTACAATCTGCAAATAAATATTTTGAAGCAGTTTGAGGCCTATGGTGAAAAAGAAATATCTACAGATAAATACTAGACAGAAGAATTCTGAGAAACTTCTTTGTGACGTGTGAATTTATCTCACAGAGTTGAATATTTCTTTTGATTGAGCAATTTGGAAACAGTCTTTTTGTAGAATCTGCAATAGGATATTTGTGAGCCCTATGAGGTCTATGGAGAAAAAGGAAATAACTTCACATAAAAACTAGACAGAAGTCTTCTGAGAAACGCCTTTGTGATATGTGCTTTCATCTCAAAGAGTTGAACGTTTCTTTTGATTAAGCAGTTTGGAAACAGTCCTTTTGTATAATCTGCCCAGGGTTATTTGTGAGCCCATTGTGGCCTATGGTGAAATAGGAAATAGATTCACATACGAACTGGAGAGAAGGTTTCTGAGAAACTTTTTTGTGATGTGTGCATTCATCTCACAGAGTTGAACCTATCTTTTGATTGAGCCATTTGGAAACAGTTTCTTAGTAGAAACTGCAGTGGGATATTTGTGAGTGGCTTGAGGTCTATGGTGAAAAAGGAAATATCTTCACATAAAAACTAGACAGAAGAATTCTGAGACACTTATTGGTGATATGTGCTTTCATCTCACAGAGTTGAACCTTTCTTTTGATTAAGCAGTTTGGAAGCAGTGTTTTTGTAGAATCTGCAGAAGTATATTCATTATCAGTTTGAGGCCTATGGTAAAAAGAAAATATCATCACAAAAAAAAAAGACACAAGCATTCTGAGAAACTTCTTTGTGATGTGTGCATTCATCTTACAGAGTCGAACATTTCTTTTGATTGAGCAGTTTGGTAACAGTCTTTTTGTACAATCTGCACATGGATATTTGTGAGCCCATTGAGGCCATTGGTGAAAAAGGAAATATCTTCACATAAATACTGGACAGAAGCATTCTGAGAAACTTCTTTGTGATGTGTGCATTCATCTCACAGAGATGAACTTTCTTTTGATTGAGCCATTTTGAAACAGTATTTTTATAAAATCTGCAAAGGGATATTTGTGAGCCCATTGAGGATTAATGTGAAATAGCAATTACCCTCACATAAAAACTAGACTGATGCATTCTGAGAAACTTTTTTGTGATGTTTGCTTTCATCTGACAGAGTTGCACATTTCTTTTGATTGAGCAGTTTGGAAACAGTCTTTTTGTAAAATCTGCAAATGGATATTTGGAGTGCTTTGAGGCCTATGGTGAGAAAGGAAATATCTTCACATGAAAACTAGACAGAAGCTTTATGAGAAACTTATGATGTGTGCATTCATCTCACAGAGTTGAACGTTTCTTTTGATTGATCAGTTTGGAAACAGTCTTTTTGTACAATATGCAAAGGGGTATTTCTGAGCTGTTTGAGGCCATTGGTGAAAAAGAAATATCTTCAGATAAGTACTAGACAGAAGCACTCTGAGAAACTTTCTTGGGATGTGTGCATTCATCTCACAGAGTTGAACCTTTCTTTTGATTGAGCAGTTTGGATTCACTCTTTTTGTAGTATCCACAATGAGATATTTTTGAGCCTGTTGAGGCCTATGTTGAAATAGGAAATATCTTCATGTAAAAACCAGACAGAAGCCTTTTGAGAAATCTTTGTGATGTGTGCTTTCATCTCACAGATTTGAACCTTTCTTTTGATTGAGCAGTTTGGAACCCCTCTTTTTGTATAATCTGCACAGGGATATTTGTGAGCCCATTAAGGCCTATGGTGAAACAGGAAATATATTCACATACAAACTAGACAGAAGGTTTCTGAGAAACTTCTTCGTGATGTGTGCATTCATCTCACCGAGTTGAACCTGTCTTTTGATTGAGCAGTTTCGAAACGATCTTTTAGTAGAATCTGCAGAGGGTTATTTTTGAGCATTTTGAGGCCTATGGTGAAAAAGGAAATATCTTTACATAAAAACTAGACAGAAGCATTCTGAGAAACTTCTTTGTGATGTGTACATTCATCTCACAGAGCTGAACCTTTCTTTTGATTGAGCCATTTGTAAACAGTCTTTTTATACAATCTACAAATGGATATTTGTGGAGATTTGAGGCCTATTGTGAAAAGGATATATCTTCACATAAAAACCAGACAGAAACTGTCTGAAAAACTTATTTTTGATGTGTGCATTTATCTGACAGTGTCGAAACTTTCCTTTGATTGAGTAGTTTGGAAACAGCCTTTTTGGAGAATCTGCACAGGGATATTCATGAGAGGTCTGTGGCCTGTGGTGAAAAAGGAAATATCTTCATGTAAAAACTAGACAGAAGTATTCAGAGAAACTACTTTGTGATGTGTGCATTCATCTCACAGAGATGAAACTTTCTTTTGATTGAGCCGTTTGGAAAATGTCTTTTTGTAGAATCTGCAAATGGATATTTGGGGCGTTTTGAGGCCCATGGTGAAAAAGGAAATATCTTCACATAAAAACTAGACAGAAACTTTCTGAGGAACTTATTTGTGATGTTTGCATTCATCTCACAGAGTTGAACATTTCTTTTCATTAAGCATTTTTGAAACAGTCTTTTTCTACAATCTGCAAAGGGATATTTCAGAGTGGTTGAAGGCCTATGGTGAAAAAGGAAATATCTTCATATAAAAACTAGACAGAAGCATTCTGAGAAACTTCTTCATCATGTGTGCATTCATCTCACAGAGTTCAATCTGTATTTTGATTGAGCAGTTTAGAAACAGCTTTTTGTAGAATCTGCAAAGGGATATTTGTGAGACCTCTGAGACCTATGGTGAAATAGGAAGTATCCTCACATAAAAATTAGACAGAAGCTTTCTAAGAGACTTCTTTGTGATGTGTGCTTTCTTCTCACAGAGTTGAACGTTTTTTTTTTTTTTTTAATTAAACAGTTTGGAAACTCTCTTTTTGCAGGATCTGCAAAAGGATATTTGGAGAGCTTTGAGGCCTTTTGTGAAAAAGGAAATATCTTAACATGAAAACTATACAGAAGGTTTCTGAGAAACTTTGTGATGTGTGCATTCGTCTAACAGACTTGAACCTTTTTTTGGATTGAGCAGTTTGGAAACACTCTTTTGGTATAATCTGCCCAGGGATATTTTTGGGCCTATGGAGGCCTATGGTGAAAAAGGAAATATCTTCACATAAAAACTATACAGAAGCTTTCTGAGAAACTTCTTTCTTATGTGTGCATTCACCTCACCAAGTTGAACTTTTCTTTTGATTCAGCAGTTTGGAAACAGTGTTTTCATAGATTCTGCACAGACATATTTGTGAACGGTTTGCGGCCTATGGTGAAATGGGAAATATCCTCACATTAAAACTAGACAGAAGAATTCTGAGAAACTTCTTTGTGATGTGTGCTTTCGTCTCACAGAGTTGAACTTTTATTTTGATTGAGCAGTTTGGAAAGAGTCTGTTTGTATAATCTGCACAAGGATATTTGTGAGCCCATTGAGGCCTATGGTGAAAATGGAAATATCTTCATGTAAAAAATAGAAAACAGCTTTCCTAGAAACTTCTTTGTGATGTGTGCATTCATCTCACAGAGTCGAACTTTTCTTTTGATTGAGCAGTTTGTAAACAGTCTTTTTGTAGAATCTGCAAATGGATATATGGAGCTATTGGTGGCCTATGGTGAAATAGGAAATATCTTCACATAAAAACTAGACAGAAACTTTCTGAGAAACTTCCTTGTGATGTGTGCATTCATCTGACAGAGTGGAACCTTTCTTTGGATTGAGCAGTTTGGAAACAGTCTTTTTACAGAGTCTGCACACGGAAACCCACGAGTGGTTTGTGGCCTATTTTGAAAAAGGAAATATCTTCACAAAAAAACTAGACAGAAATATTCTGAGAAACTTCTTTGTGATGCGTACATTCATCTCACAGAGATGAACCTTTCTTTTGATTGGGCAGTTTTGAAACACTACTTTTATATAGTCTGCAAAGGGATATTTCTGAGCAGTTTGACGCCAATGGTGAAAAAGAAATACCTTCAGATAAATACTAGACAGAAGCATTCTGAGAAACTTCTTTGGGATGTGTGCATTCATCTCACAGAGTTGAATATTTCTGTTGATTGAGCAGTTTGGAAACCGTCTTTTTGTAGAATCCACAAAGGGATATGTTTGAGCCCTTTGAGTTCTATGGTGAAATAGGAAATATCTTCACATAAAAACCAGACAGAAGCCTTCTGAGAAACGTCTTTGTGATGTGTGCTTTCATCTCACAGAGTTGAAAGTTTCTTTTGATTGAGCAGTTTGGAACGACTCTTTTTGAATCATCTGCACAGGGATATTTGTGAGCCCATTGAGGTCTATGGTGAAACAGGAATTATCTTCAAATACAAACTAGACAGAAGGTTTCTGAGAAACTTCTTTGTGATGTGTGCTTTCATCTCACAGAGTTGCACCTTTCTTTTGATTGAGCACTTTGGAAACAGTCTTTCTGTAGAATCTGCAAATGGATATTTGGAGAGCTTTAAGGCCTATAGTGATAAAGGAAATATCTTCACATAAGAACTAGAGTGAATCTTTCTGAGAAACTTATTTGTGATGTGTGCATTCATGTCACAGAGTTGCACCTTTCTTTTAATTGAGCAGTTTGGAAACAGTCATTTTGTACAATCTGTAATGGGATATTTCTGAGTGGTTTGAGGCCTATGGTGAAAAAGGAATATCTTCAGATAAATACTAGACAGAAACATTCTGAGAAACTTCTTTCTAATGTGTGCATTCATCTCACAGAGTTGAACATTTCTTTTGATTGAGCAGTTTGGAAAGTCTTTTAGTAGAATCTGCACAGCGATAATTCTGAGCGGTTTGAGGCCTATTTTGAAATGGGAAATATCTTCACATATAAACTAGACTGAAGCTTTCTGAGAAACTTCTTTTTGATTTGTGCTTTCTTCGCACAGAGTTGAAACTTTCTTTGATTGAGAAGTTTGGAAACAGTCTTTTTGTAGAATCTGCATCAGGATAATTTTGAGTGGTTTGAGGCCTATGGTGAAAAAGGAAATAACTTCACATCAAAACAAGACAGAAGCTTTCTGAGAAACTTATTTGTTATGTTTGCTTTCTTCTCATGGAGGCAAAATTTTCTTTTGGTTGAGCAGTTTGTAAAATGTCTTTTTGTAGAATCTGCAAATGGATACTTGGAGCGATTTGAGGCCTATGGTGAAAAAGGATATATCTTTACATAAAAACTAGACAGAAACTTTCTGAGAAACTTTTTTGATATGCACATTCATCTGACAGAGTAGAAACTTTGTTTTGATTGAGTAGTTTGGAAACAGTCTTTTTGCAGAATCTGCACAGGGATATTCGTGAGCGGTTTGTGGCCAATGGTGAAAAAGGAAATATATTCTCATAAAAACTGGACAGAACCATTCCGAGGAACTTCTTTTTAATGTGTGCATTCATTTCACAGAATTGAACCTTTCCTTTGATTGAGCAGTTTGAAGACAGTGTTTTTGTAGAATCTGCACAGAGATATTTGTGAGCTGCTCGAGGCCCATGGTGAAGTAGGAAATATCTACAAATAAAAACTAGACAGAACCTTTTTGAGTAACTTCTTTGTGATTTTTCCATTCATCTCACAGAGTTGAAAATTCCTTTTCATTGGGCAGTTTTGAAATGTCTTCTTGTACAATCTGCAAAGGGATAGTTCTGAGCTGTCTAATGCCTATGGTGAAAAAGGAAATATCTTCACTTAAAAACTAGGCTGAAGCATTCAGAGAAACTTCTTTGTGATGTGTGCATTCATATCACAGAGTAGAACCTTACTTTTGATGTAGCAGTTTGGAAACAGTCTTTTTGAAGTATCTGCAGAAGGATATTTCTGACCAGTTTAAGGAATATGGTGAAAAAGGAAGTACCTTCACATAAAAACTAGACAGAAGCATTCTTAGAAACTTCTTTGTGATGTGTGCATTCATCTCACAGAGTTGAACCTTTCTTTTGATTGAGCAGGTTGAAAAGAGCCTTTTTGTGGAATCTGAGAAAGGATATTTGTGGGTGGTTTGAAGCCTATGGTGAAAAAGGAAATATTTTCACATAAAAACTAGACAGAAGCTTTCTGACAAACTTCTTTCTGATATGTGCATTCATCTCACAGACATGAATGTTTCTTTGATTGAGCACTTTGTTAACAGTCTGTTTGTAGAATCTGCAAAGGAATATTTGGAGCACTTTGAGGCCTATGGTGAAAAAAGAAATATCTTCACATAAAAACTAGACCAAAGCTCTGAGAAACTTCTTCATGATGTGTACATTCATCTCATAGATTTGAACCTTTCTTTTGAGTGAGCAGTCTCGAAACAGTCTTTTTGTAGAATCTGCAAAGTGATAACTGTGAGCCCCTTGAGGGCTATGGTAAAAAAGGAAATATCTTCACATAAAAACCGGACAGAAGCCTTCTGATAAACTTCTTTGTGATGTGTGCTTTCATCTCACAGAGTTGAAGCATTCTTTTGGTTTATCAGCTTGGAAACAGTATTTTTGTGGAATGTTCAAAGTGATATTTGGAGCAATTTGAGGCCTGTGGTGAAAAGGAAATATCTTCACATAAGGAGTAGACAGAAGCATTCTGAGCAACTTCTTTGTGATGTGTGAATTCATCTCACAGACTGAACCTTTTTTTTTGATTGAGCAGTTTGCAAAGAGTCTTTTTGTAGAATCTGCAAACAGATATCTTTGAGCACTTTGAGGCCTCTGGTGAAAAAGGAAATATCTTCACATAAAAACTAGACAGAAGCATTCTGAGCAACTTCTTTTAAATGTGTGCATTCATCTCAGAGAGTTGAACTTTCCTTTTCATTGGGCACTTTGGAAACAGTGTGTTTGTAGAATCTGCAAAGGGATATTTGGAACACTGTTAGGCCTTTGGTGAAAAAGGAAATATCTTCACATAATAAGTAGGCAAAAGTTTTCTGAGAAACTTCTTTGTGATGAGTGCATTCATCTCACAGAGTTGAAACATTCTTTTGATTAAGCAGTTTGGAAAGAGTCTTTTTGTAGAATCTGCAAAGGGATATTTGTGAGCCTTTTGAGGCCTATGGTGAAAAAGGAAATATGTTGACATAAAAACTACACAGGACGTTTCTGAGAAAGTTCTTTGTGATGTGAGCTTTCATCTCACAGACCCGAACCATTCTTTTGAAAGATCAGTTTGGAAACAGTCTTTTTGTAGAATCTGCAAAGGGATATTTGGAGCACTCTTAGGCCTATGGTGAAAAAGGAAATATCTTCACATAAAAATTAGATAGAAGCATTCTGACAAACTTCTTTGTGATATCTGCATTAATCTCACAGTTTTCAACGTTTCTTTTCATTGAGCAGTTTAGAAGCAGTCTTTTTGTAGAATCTGCAAGTGGATATTTGGAGCGCTTTGAGGCCTATGGTTGAAAAGGAAATATCTTCACATAAAAACTAGACCGAAGCATTCTGAGAAACTTCTTTGTGATGTGTGCATTCAGCTCAGAGGTTTGAACCTTCCTTTTGATTGAGCAGTTTGGAAAGAGTCTTTTTGTAGTATCTCCAAAAGGATATTTGCGATCCCTTTGTGGCCTATGGTGAAAAAGGAAATATCTTCACGTAAAAACTACACAGAAGCTTTCTGAGAAACTTCTCTGTGATGTGTGCATTCACCTCACAGATTTGAAACTTTCTCTTGATTGAGCATTTTGGAAACAGTATTTTTGCACAATCTGCAGTAGGATATATGTGAGCTGTTTGAGGACTATGGTGAAAAAGGAAATATCTTCATATAAAAACTAGATGGAAGCTTTATGACAGACTTCTTTATGATGTGAGCATTCATCTCTGAGAGTTGTACGTTTCCTTTCATTGAGCAGTTAGGAAACATAATTTTTGCAGAACCTGAAAAGGGATATTTGGTGTGCTTTGAGGTGTATGGTGAAAAAGGAAATATCTTCACATGAAAACTAGACAGAAATTTTCTGAGTAACTTCTTTCTGACGTTTGCATTCACCTCAAAGATCTGAACATTTTTTTTGATTGAGCAGTTTGGAAACAGTCTTTTTGTAGAATCTATAAACAGATTTTTCTCAGCTCTTTGAGGTATATGGTGAAAATGGAAATATCTTCACATAAAAAATAGACAAAAGCATTCTGATCAACTTATTATTCATGTGTGCATTCGTTTCACAGATTTGAACCATTTTTTGATTGAGCACTTTGGAAACATTCTGTTTGTAGAATCTGCAAATGGATATTTAGAGCACTTTGAGGCCTATGGTGAAAAAGGAAATATTTTCACATAAAAACCAAACCAAAGGTTTCTGAGAAACTTCTTTGTGATGAGTGCATTCATCTCACAGGGTTGAACCTTTCTTTTCATTAATCCATTTAGAAGCAGTCATTTTGTAGAATCTGCAAAGGGATATTTCTGAGCCATTTGAGGTTTATGGTGGAAAGGGAAATATCTTCACATAAAAACTGGATTGAAGCTTTCTGGGGAACTTTTTTGTGAAGTGTGGGTTCATCTCATAGAGTTGAACCTTTCTTTTCATAGAGCAGTTTGGAAACAGTCTTTTTATAGAATCTGCAACTGGATATCTGGAGCGATTTGAGGCCTATGGTGGAAAAGGAAATATCTTTACATAAAAACTAGACAGAAGCATTCTCAGAAACTTCTTTGTGATGTGTGCATTCAATTCACAGAGTTGAACCTTTCTTTTGATTGAGCAGTTTGGAAACACTCTTTTTGTAGTATCTGCAAATGGATATTTGGAGTGCTTTGAGGCCTATATTTGAAAAGGAATTATCTTCACATAAAAACTAGACAGAAGCATTCTGAGAAACTTGTTTGTGAGGTGTGCATTCATCTCACAGATTTGAAAACTTCTTTTAATTGAGCAGTTTTGAAACACTCTTTTTGTAGAAACTGCAAGTAGATATTTGGAGCGCTTAGAGGCCCATGGTGAAAAAGGAAATATCTTCACATAATAACCAGACAGAAGCATTCTGAGAAAGTTCTTTGTGATGTTTGCATTCATTTCATAGAGTTGAGCCACTCTTTTGATTGAGCAGTTTGGAAACAGTCTTTTTGCAGAATCCACAATGGGATATTTTTGAGCCCTTTGAGGCCTATGGTAAAAAAGGAAATATCTTCATAAAAAAACTGGTCAGAAGCTTTCTGAGAAACTTCTTTTTGATGTGCACTGTCATCTCACAGAGTTGACACCATTCTATCAATTGATCAGTTTGAGAACAGTCTTTTCTAGAATCTGCAAAGGGATATATGGAGCAATTTGAGTCCTATGGTGAAAAAGGAAATATCTTCACATAAAAACTAGACAGAAGCTTTCTGAGAAACTTCTTTGTGATGTGTGCATTCAACTCACAGAGTTGAATATTTGTTTAATTGAGCAGGTTGGAAATAGTCTTTTTGTAGAATCTGTAAGTGGTTATTTGGAGCGCTTTCAGGTCTGTGGTGAAAAAGGAAATATCTTCATATAAAAACTGGACAGAAGCATTCTGAGAAACTTCTTTGTGATGAATGCATGCATCTCGTAGAGTAGAACGTTTCCCTTGATTGAGCAGTTTGGAAACAGTCTTTTTGTAGAATCTGCAAAGAGATATTTGTGAGCCCTTTGAGGCCTATAGTAAGAAAATAAATATCTTCACATAAAAACTGGACAGAAGCTTTCTGAGAAACTTCTTTGTTATGTGTGCTTTCATGTCACAGAGTTGAACAATTCTTTCAATTGAATAGTTTGGAAACAGTCTTTTTGTAACATCTGCAAGGGGATATTTGGAACAATTTGAGGACTATGGTGAAAAAATATATATCTTCACATAAAAACTAGACTTAAGCTTTGTCAGAAACTTCTTTGTGATGTGTGCTTCCATGTCACTGAGTTGAACATTTCTTTTCATTGAGCAGTATGGAAATAGTCTTTTTATGGAATCTGCAAAGGGATATTTGGAGTGCTTTGAAGCAAATGGTGAAAGAGGAAATATCTTCACATAAGAACTAGACAGAAGCATTCTGAGCAACTTCTTTGTGATGTGTGTATTCATCTCACAGAGGTGAACCATTCTTTTGATTGAGCAGTTTAGAAAGAGCCTTTTTGTAAAATCTGTAAAAGGATATTTGGAGCAATTTGAGGCCTATGGTGAAAAAGGAAATATCTTCACAAAAAACTAGACAGAAGTATTCTGATAAACTTCTTTGTGATGTCTGCATTCATCTCATAGAATTGAACCTTTCTTTTGATTGAGCAGTTTAGAAACAGTCCTTTTGTAGAACCTGCAAAGGGATATTTGTGAGCCCTATTTAGGCCAATGGTGAGAAAGGAAATATATTGACATAAAAACTGCACAGAAGGTTTCTGAGAAAGTTCTTTGTGATGTGTGCTTTCATCTCACAAAGTTGAATCATACTTTTGATTGAGCACTTTGGAAACAGTCTGTTTGTAGAATCTGTGAAGGGATATTTGGAGCACTTTGAGACCTATGGTGAAAAAGGAATTGTCTTCACATAAAAAGTAGACCAAAGCTTTCTGAGAAACTTCTTTCTGATGAGTGCACTCATCACACAGAGTTGAACCTCTCTTTTGATTGAGCAGTTTGGAAACAGTCTTTTTGCAGAATCTGCAAATGGATATTTGGAGCGCTTTGAGGCTTATGATGAAAAATGATATATCTTCACATAAGGACTAGACAGAAGCCTTCTGGGAAACTTCTTTGTGAAGTGTTATTTCATCTCATAGAGTTGAACCTTTCCTTTGGTTGAGCAGTTTGGAAACAGTATTTCTGTACCATCTGCAAAGGAATATTTGTAAGCCCTTTGAGTCCTATGGTATAAAAGGAAATATCTTCATGTAAAAACTGGACAGAAGCTTTCTGAGAATCTGCTTTGTGATATGTGGTTTCATGTCACAGAGTTGAACCATTCTTTCAATTGATCCTTATAGAAACAGTCATTTGGTAGAATCTGCAAAGGGATATTAGGAGCAATATGAGGCCTATGGTTAAAAAGGAAATATCTTAATATAAAAACTAGACAGAAGCTTTCTGAGAAACTTCTTTGCCAGGTGTGCATTAATCTCACAGAGTTGAATGTTTCTTTTGATTGAGCACTTTGTAAACAGTCTTTTTATATAATCTGAAATGGATATTTGGAGCGATTTGAGAGGTTTGGTGAAAAAGGAAATATCTGTACATAAAAACTAGACAGAAGCTTTCTGAGAAACTCCTTTGTGACTTGTGCATTCATCTCAGAGAATTGAAACTTTCTTTTGATTGAGCAGTTTGGAAAAAGTCTTTTTGTAGAATCTGTAAACAGATATTTGGAGCGCTTTGAGGCCTTTTGTTTAAAAGGAAATATCTCCACATGAAAACTAGACAGAAGAATTCTGAGAAACTTCTTTGTGATGTGTGCATTCATCTCACAGAGTTGAACCTTTCTTTTGATTGAGCAGTTTCGAAGCAGTCTTTTTTTAGCGTCTGCAAACAGATATTCATGAGCACTTTGAGGCCTATGGTGAAAAAGTAAATATCTTCACATAAAAACTAGACCAAGGCTTTCTGAGAAACTTCTTTTGATGAGTGCATTCAGCTCACAGATTTCAACCTTTCTTTTGATTAATCCGTTTGGAAACAGTCTTTTCATAGTATCTGCAAAGGGATATTTGTGACCCCTTTGAGGTCTATGGTGAAAAAGGAAATATCTTTACATGAAAACTAAACAGAAGCTTTCTGAGAAACTTCTTTGTGATGTGTGGTTTCATCTCACAGAATTAAACCTCTCTTTTGATGGAGCAGGGTTGGAAACCATCTTTTTTTATAATCTGCAAGTGGATAGTTGAATTTCATTGAGGCCTATTGTGAAAAAGGAAATATCTTGACATAAAAACTAGACAGAAGCATTCTCAGAAACTTGTTTGTGATATGTTCATTCAACTCTCAGAGTTGACTCATTCTTTTGATTGAGCAGATTGGAAGCAGATTTTTTGTAGAATCTGTGAAGGGATGTTTGGGAGCCCTTTGAGGCCTATGGTGAAAAAGGAAATATGTTCACATAAAAACTAGACAGAAGTTTTCTGAGAAACTTCTTTGTGATGTGTGCTTTCATCTCACAGAGTTGAACCTTTCTTTGATTGAGTATTTTGGAAAAAATCTTTTAGTAGAATCTGAAAAAGGATATTTGGAGTGCTTTAAGGAGTATGGTGAAAAAGGAAATATCTTCACATAAAAACTAGACATAAATTTTCTGAGAAACTTCTTTGTGACGTGTGCATTCATCTCACAGACTTGAACCTTTCCTTTCATTGAGCAGTTTGGAAACAGTCCTTCTGTATATTCTGCAAAGGAATATTTGTAAGCCCTTTGAGTCCTATGGTAAAAAAGGAAATATGTTCACATAAAAACTGAACAGAAGCTTTCTGAGAATCTTCTTTGTGATGTGTGGTTTCAACTCAGAGACTTGAAGTGTTCTTTTGATTGATCAGTATGTAAACAGTCATTTGGTAGAATCTGCTAAGGGATATTTGGAGCAATCTCTGGCCTATGTGAAAAAGGAAATATCTTAATATAAAAACTAGACAGAAGCTTGCTGAGAAACTTCTTTGTCAGGTATGCATTCACCTCACAGAGTTGAACCTTTCTTTTGATTGAGAACTTTGGAAACAGTCTGTTTGTAGAATCTGCAGATATTTGTGAGCACTTTGTGGCCTATGGTGAAAAAGGGATTATCTTCACATAAAAACTAGACAGTAGCTTTCTGAGCAACTTCTCTGTGATGTGTGCCTATATCTCACAGATTTGATACTTTCTTTTGATGGAGCAGTTTGGTAACAGGCTTTTTGTAAAATCTGAAAACGGATATTTGGAGTGCTTTGAGGCGTATGGTGAAAAAGGAATTATCTTCACATAAAAACGAGACAGAGCTTTCTGAGGAACTTCTTTGTGATCTGTTCTTTCATCTCACAGAGTTGAAACTTTCTTTTGATTGAGTAGTTTGGAAAGAGCCTTTTTGTATAATCTGCAAATGGGATATCTGTGGGCCCTTTATGCCTATGGTGAAAAAGGAAATATCTTCACATAAAAACTGGACAGAAGCTTTCTAACAAACTTCTTTGTGATGTGTGCATTCATCTCACAGAGGTGAAACTTTCTTTTGATTGAGCAGTATGGAAACAGTCTTTTTGTGGAATCTGTAAACAGATATTAGTGAGCACATTGAGGCCTATGGTGAAAAAGGAAATACCTTCACATAAAAACCTGACCGAAGCATTCTGAGCAACTGCTTTGTGATGTGTGCCTTCATCTCACTGAGTTGAACCTCTCTTTTGATTGAGCACATCGGAAACAATCTGTTTCTAGAATCAGCAAAGGGATGTTTGGAGCACTTTGAGGCCTATGTTGAACAAGGAAATATCTCCACATAAAAACTAGTCCAAAGCTTTCTGAGAAACTTCTTTGTGTTGAGTACATTCATCTAACAGATTTGATACTTTCTTTTGATGGAGCAGTTAGGTAACAGACTTTTTGTAAAATCTGAAAAGGAATATTTGGAGCACTTTGATAAGCTATTTGATAAGCTGGCTTATCAAATTTGATAAGCCGTTTCAAAGCTATCTTTTTTTAGGATCTGCAAAGGGATATTTGTGAGCCCTTTGAGGCCTGTGGTGAAAGAGGATATATCTTCACATAAAAACTAGATAGAAGTTTTCTGAGAAACTTCTTTGTGTTGTGTGTTTTCATCTCACAGAGATGAGCTTTTCTTTTAATTGAGCAATTTGGAAATTTTTTTTTGTAGAATCTGCAAGTGTATATATTTGGAGCACTTTGAAGCCTATGGTGAAAAATGAAATATCTTCACATAAATACTAGACAGAAGTATTCTGAGAAACTTCTTTGTGATGTGTGAATTCATCTCACAGGGTTGAACTTTTCTTTTGATTGAGCAGTTTGGAAACAGTCTTTTTGCAGAATCTGCAAAACGATATTTGTGAGCTCTTTCAGGCCTATGGAAAAATAGGGAATATCTTCACATAAAAACTAGACAGAAGTTTTCTGACAAACTTCTTTGTGATGTGTGCATTCATCTCACAGAGTTTGAACGTTTCTTTTGATTGTGCAGTTTGGAAACAGTCTTTCTGTAGAATCTGAAATGGGATATTTGGATCGTTTTATGGCATATTGTGAAAAAGGAAATATCTTCACATAAAAACTAGAGAGAAGCTTTCCGAGTAACTTCTTTGTGATGCATACATTCATGTCACAGAGTTGAAAATTTATTTTGATTGAGAAGTTTGGAAACATTCTTTTTGTAGAATTTGCAAACAGATATTTTTGAGTGCTTTCAGTCCTATGTTGAAAAAGGAAATATCTTCACATAAAAACTAGATAGAAGCATTCTGAGCAAATATTTTTGATGTGTGCATTCATCTCACAGAGTTGAACCTTTCCTTTCATTGAGCACTTCGAGAAGAGTCTGTTAGTAGAATCTGCAAAGGGATATTTCGAGCACTTTGAGGTCTATTGTGAAAAATGAAATATCTTCACATAAAAACTAGACCGAAGCTTTCTGAGGAACTTCTTTGTGATGTGTGCTTTCATCTCACAGGGTTGAACTTTTTTTTTGATTGAGCAGTTTGGAAACAGTCTTTTTGTAGAATCTGCAGAGGGATATTTGTGAGCCTTTTGAGGCCTACAGTGAAAAAGGAAATATCTTAATATAAAAACTGGACAGAAGCTTTCTGAGAAACTTCTTTGTGATGTGTACTTTCATCTCACACAGTTGAACCATTCCTTCAGTTGATCAGTTGGGAAACAGTCTTTTTGTACAGTCTGCAAAGGAATATTTGAAGCCCTTTGAGTCCTATGGTAAAAAAGGAAATATCTTCACATAAAAACTGGATAGAAGCTTTCCAAGAAACTTCTTTGTCATGTGTGCTTTCTTCTCACAGAGTTGAACGATTCTTTTGATTGATCAGTTTGGAAGCACTGTTTTTGTAGAATCTGCAAAGGGATATTAGGAGCAATATGAGGCCTATGGTTAAAAAGGAAATATCTTCACATACAAACTAGACAGAAGCTTTCTGAGAAACTTCTTTGCCAGGTGTGCATTGATCTCACAAAGTTGAACATTTCCTTTGATTGAGCAGTTTGGAAACATTCTTTTTGTAAAATCTCTAAAGGGATATTTAGAGCAATTTGAGGCTTATGGTGAAAAATGAAATATCTTCAATTAAAAAATAGACAGAAGCTTACAGAGAAACTACTTTGAGATGTGTGCATTCATCTTGCAGAGTGGAAAATTTCTTTTGATTGAGCATTTTGGAAACAGTCTTTTTGTAGGATCTGCAAAGGGATTTGTGTGAGCCCTTTGAGTACTACGGTGAAAAAGAAAATCTCTTCACATATAAACTACACAGAATATTTCTGAGAAAGTCCTTAGTGATGTGAGCTTTCATCTCACAGAGTTGAACCATTCTTTTGATAGATCAGTTTGGAAACAGTCTTTTTATAGAAACTACAAAAGGATATTTGGAGCACTTTGAGGCCTATCGTGAAAAAGGAAATATCTTCACATATAAACTAGACAAAAGCTCTCTGAGAAACTTCTTTGTGATTTGTCCATTCATCTTATATATTTAAACCATTCTTTTGATTGAGCAGTTTGGAAACAGTCTTTTTGTAGAATCTGCAAAAGGATATTTTTGAGTGGTTTGAGGCCTATGGTGAAAAAGGAAATATTTTCACTTAAAAACTAGACAGAACTTTCCTGACAAACTTCTTTCTGATGTGTGCATTTATCTCACAGAGTTGAAAGTTTCTATTGATTGAGAAGTTTGGAAACAGTCTTTTTATATAATCTGAAATGGATATTTGGAGTGCTTTGAGGCATTTGGTGAAAAAGGATATATCCTCACATAAAAACTAGACAAAAGCTTTCTGAGAAACTTCTTTGTGACGTGTGCATTCATTTCACACAGTTGAACATTTCTTTTGACTGAGCAGGTTGGAAACGTCTTTTTGTAGAATCTGCAAACAGATATTTGTGAGTGCTTTGAGGCTTATGGTGAAAAAGGAAATACCTCCAAATAAAAACCTGACGGAAGCATTCTGAGCAACTGCTTTGTTGCATATGTGTGCATTCATCTCACAGAGTTGAACCTTTCTTTTGATTGATCACGTTGGAAACAGTTTGTTTCTAAAATCTGCAAAGGGATATTTCAAGCACTTTGAGGCCTATGGTGAACAAGGAAATATCTTCACATAAAAACTAGATCAAAGCTTTCTGAGAAACTTCTTTGTGTTGAGTGCATTCATCTCACAGATTTAACCTTTAATTTGATAGGCCATTATGAAACCGTCTTTTTTTAGAATCTACACAGGGATATTGGTGAGCACTTTGAAGCCTGCCGTGAAAAAGGACATATCTTCACATGAAAACTAGACAGAAGCTTTCTGAGCTTCTTTGTGTTGTGTGCTTTCATCTCACAGTGTTGAACCTTTGTTTTAATTGAGCAATTTGGAAACAGTCTTTTTGTAGAATCTGCAAGTGTATATTTGGAGTGCTTTGAAGCCTATGGTGAAAAACGAAATATCTTCACATAAATACTAGACAGAAGCATTCTGAGAAACTTCTTTGTGATGTGTGAATTCATCTCAGATGGTTGAACCTTTCCTTTTATTGAGCAGTTTTGAAACAGTCTTTTTGCAGAATTTATAAAGGGATATTTGGAGCACTTTGAAGAGTATGGTGAAAAGGAATTATCTTCACATAAAAAATAGAAGTTTTCTGAGAAACTTCTTTGTAATGTGTGCATTCATCTTACAGATTTCAACCTTTCTTTTGGTTGAGCGTATGGAAACAGTCTTTTTGTAGAATCTGCAAAAGGATATTTGTGAGCTCTTTTAGGCCTATGGAGAAATAAGGAATATCTTCATATAAAAATGAGACAGAAGTTTTCTGACAAACTTCTTTGTGACGTATACATTCATCTCACAGAGTTGAACATTTCTTTTGATTTAGCAGTTTGGAAACAGTCTTTCTGTAGAATCTGAAATGCAATATTTGGATCACTTTAAGATGTATAGTGAAAAAGGAAATATCTCCACAGAGAAACTAGACAGAAGCTTTCTGAGGAACTTCTTTCTGATGTGTGCTTTCATCTCACAGAATTGAACATTTGTTTGATTGAGCAGTTTGGAAACAGTGTTTTTGTGGAATCTGCAGATGGATATTTGTGGGCCCTTTGAGGCCTATGGTGAAAAATGAAATATCTTCACATAAAAACTGGACAGAACCTTTATGAGAAACTTCTTTGTGATGTGAGATTTCATCTCACAGAGTTGACCATTCCTTCGATTTATCAGTTTGGAAACAGTCTTTTTGTACAATCTGCAAAGGGATATTTTGTGCAACTTGGAGCCTGTGGTGAAAAAGGAAATATCTTCACATAAACACTAGACAGAAGCTTTCTGACTAACTTCTTTGTGGCGTGTGCATTCATCTCACAAAGTTGAATGTTTCTTTTTATTGAGCAATTTGGAAATAGTCTTTTTGTAGAGTCTGCAATGGGATATTTGGACTGCTTTGAGGCGCATGGTAAAAATGGAAATGTCTTCACATAAGAATTAGACAGAAGCACTCGAAGGAACTTCTTTGTGGCGTGTGCATTCATCTCACAGAGGTGAACATTTATTTTGATTGAGCAGTTTGGAAACAGTCTTTGTGAGGGATCTGCAAACAGATATTTGTTAACGCTTTGAGGCTTATGGTGAAAAAGGAAATGTCTTCACATAAAAACTAGTCAGAAGCTTTCTGAACAACTTCTTTCTGATGTGTGCATTCATCTCACAGAGTTGAACCTTTCTTTTGATTTAGCACATTGGAAACCATCTGTTTCTAGAATCTGCAAAGAGATATTTGGAGCACTATGAGGCCTATGGTGAACAAGGAAATATCTTCACATAAAAACTAGACTAATGTTTTCTGAGAAACTTCCTTGTGCTGAGTGCATTCATCTCACAGATTTGAATCTTTCTTTTGATTAAGCTGTTTCAAAACCGTCTTTTCTTAGAATCTGAAAAGGGATATTTGTGAGCCCATTAGGGCCTGTGGTGAAAAAGGATATATCCTCACATAAAAACTAGATAGAAGCCTTCTGAGAAACTTCTTTGTGTTGTGTGTTTTCATCTCCCAGAGTTGAATCTTTCTTTTGATTGAGCAATTTGGAAACAATCTTTTTGTAGAATCTGCAAGTGTATAATTTGGAACGCTTTGAAGTCTTTGGTGAAAAAGGAATTATCTTCACATAAAAACTAGACAGAAGCATTCTGAGAAACTTCTTTGTGATAGGTGAATTCATCACACTGAGTTGTACCTTTCTCTTGATTGAGCAATTTTGCTACAGTCTTTTTGCAGAATCTGCAAAAGGATGTTTATGAGCTGTTTTAGGCCTATGGAGAAAAATGGAATATCTGCACATAAAAACTAGACATAGGTTTTCTGAGAAACTTCTTTGTGTTGTGTGCATTCATCTCACAGAGGTGAACATTTATTTTGATTTTGCAGTTTGGAAAGAGTCTTTTTGAAGAATCTGCAAACAGATATTTGTGAGCACTTTGAGGCTTATGGTGAAAAAGGAAATAACTTCACATAAAAACATGACTGAAGCATTCTGAGAAACCTCTTTGTAGGGGAAGCAGCCAAGATGGCCAAATAGGAACAGCTCCAGTCTACAGCTCCCAGTGTTAGTGAAGCAGAAGATGGGTGATTTCTGCATTTCCATCTGAGGTACCGGGTTCATCTCAGTAGGGAGGGCCAGACAGTGGGTGCAGGACAGTGGGTGCAGTGTACCCTGCATGAGCCAAAGCTGGGAGAGGAATTGACTCACTTAGGAAGCACATGGGGTCAGGGAGTTCTCTTTCCTAGTCAAAGAAAGGGGTGACAGATGGCACCTGGAAAATCAGGTCACTCCCTCCCTAATACTGCGCTTTTCTGATGGGCTTAAAAAATGGCGCACCAGGAGATTATATACCACACATGGCTCAGAGGGTCCTATGCCCACGGAGTCTCACTGATTGCTAGCACAGCAGTCTGAGATCAAACTGCAAGGCAGCAGTGAGGCTGGGTGAGGGGCGCCTGCCATTTCCCAGGCTTGATTAGGTAAACAAAGCAGCTGGAAAGCTCAAACTGGGTGGAGCCCACCACAGCTCAAGGAGGCCTGCCTGCCTCTGTAGGCTCCACCTCTGGGGGCAGGGCACAGACAAACAAAAAGACAACAGTAAACTCTGTAGTCTTAAATGTCCCTGTCTGACAGCTTTGAAGAGAGAAGTGGTTCTCCCAGCATGCAGCTGGAGAACTGAGAATGGGCAGACTGCCTCCACAAGTGAGTCCCTGACCCCTGACCCCTGAGCAGCCTAACTAGGAGGCACCCCACAGTAGGGGCAGACTGACACCTCACACAGCTGGGTACTCCTGTGAGACACAAGATCCAGAGGAACAATCAGACAGCAGAAGTTGCAGATAATGAAAATCTGCTGTTCTGCAGCCACCGCTGATGTTACCCAGGTAAACAGGGTCTGGAGTGGACCTCTAGCAAACTCCAACGGACCTGCAGCTGAGGGTCCTGTCTGTTAGAAAGAAAGTTAACAAAGAGAAAGGACATCCACACCAAAAACCCATCTGTGCATCACCAACATCACAGACCAAAAGTAGAAAAAACCACAAAGATGGGGAAAAAACAGAGCAGAAAAACTGGAAACTCTAAAAAGCAGAGCACCTCTCCCCCTCCAAAGGAATGCAGTTCCTCACCAGCAACAGAACAAAGCTGGATGGAGAATGACTTTGACAAGTTGAGAGAAGAAGTCTTCAGATGATCAAACTACTCCAAGCTACAGGAGGAAATTCAAACCAAAGGCAAAGAAGTTGAAAACTTTGAAAAATATTTAGACAAACGTATAACTAGAATAACCAATGCAGAGAGGTGCTTAAAGGAGCTGATGGAGCTGAAAGCCAAGGCTTGAGAACTATGTGAAGAATGCAGAAGTCTCAGGAGCCTATGCGATCAACTGGAAGAAAGGGTATCAGTGATGGAAGATGAAATGAATGAAATGAAGCAAGAAGGGAAGTTTAGAGGAAAAAGAATAAAAAGA